>NC_000010.11:84082489-84234004 GCF_000001405.40 Homo sapiens | reverse complement strand
GGATTTGGCAGGGCCAGAGGGAAGTTGTCTAAGCAAAGCTGGGCTTCCACCTGTCTGAGTTGAGTTTGACAGGGGCTTCCCAGAGGTGAGGCAAATCACTGTGACAACAGATTCAACAATGACAGTGGCTCTTGACCTGTCCTATCATATCCCACCAGACACTCTATAGAGACTTGGGGCCCACCCTGAGAGAACAAAAAGCTGACTTTTTGGTGGAAGACCCTCTTTTAGTGTGTTAATATTTATAATAAATTTCCCAGTTGTAAATATTAAACCAGAATTACCTGGAGTAATTAATGATGTGAGCTACCATCTATCGAGCTCTTCATGTGGGTCTAGCACAGTGCTAAGTGTATTATGCACATAATGACATTGAACTTCAAAGAGCAACCCAATTTTCCTTCTTATTTTGCATATAAGTAAGCTGAGGCTCTGAGAGGCTAAATGCTACATTACACAGCTCATACATGGAGGAGCTGGGGTTCCAGCACAATCTAGCTGATCACCTTTGCAAAATTCCAGGGCCCTTAAGAACATAGTGGGTTGGCTGGGGGCTCACACCCAATCCTAGCACTTTGGGAGGCTGAGGCAGGAGGATTGCTGGAGTCTAGGAGTTACCAGCATGGGCACCATAGTGAGACCTTGTCGCAAAAAAAAATATATATATATATTCCTAGGCTTGGTGGCATGTGCCTGTGGTCCCAGCTACTCAGGAGCTGAGGTGGGAGGATCACTTGAGCCTGGGAGTTCCAGGCTGGAGTAAGCCATGGTCACACCGCTGCACTCCAGCCTGGGTGACAGAGCAAGACACTGTCTGAAAAAAGCAAACAATAACAAAAAAACCCATAGTGTGAACTTGTCAGATTTAGAAGGCATCATTCTTAGGCTCTGCCTCAGCCTGGGGCTCCAGAGGCTCACCACATTTGAGTCCAAGGTAATGTTGATACCCTTGGCTGGTCTAAGAAACACTGAGTGACTGCCAGTGTTTTCTTACGATGACACCTGAGTGTGTACCACCTGGGGCTGTGAACTTGGCCCTGAAAGGCAGCTTGGGGCAGATGGGCCCATTCGTTCTCCCACACATGCCTGTTTTCCTCCTAGTGCACCAGGAAGTCTCCAGTGACGGCACGAGCTGGACTCTGCTGGGCCTGCCTGCAGTGTCCCACCTTGACTCCGGAGACTACATCTGCCAAGCCAAGAACTTCCTGGGAGCCTCTGAAACTGTTATCTCCTTGATTGTCACTGAGCCACCGACTTCCACAGAACACAGTGGGAGCCCAGGAGCACTATGGGCAAGGACAGGTGGCGGAGGGGAAGCTGCTGCTTACAACAACAAGCTGGTGGCCAGGCATGTCCCCCAGATTCCCAAACCCGCTGTCCTGGCCACTGGACCCTCTGTGCCCAGCACAAAGGAGGAGCTGACCCTTGAGCACTTCCAGATGGATGCCCTGGGAGAGCTCTCTGATGGGCGGGCAGGACCCTCAGAGGCACGAATGGTGAGGTCTGTGAAGGTGGTGGGGGACACTTACCACAGCGTGTCCTTGGTGTGGAAGGCACCCCAGGCTAAGAACACAACTGCCTTCAGTGTCCTCTACGCGGTCTTTGGGCAGCACAGCATGCGGCGGGTGATTGTGCAGCCTGGGAAGACCAGAGTGACCATCACTGGGCTGTTGCCCAAGACCAAGTATGTGGCGTGTGTCTGTGTGCAGGGCCTGGTGCCCCGGAAGGAGCAGTGTGTTATTTTCTCCACCAATGAAGTGGTGGATGCTGAGAACACTCAGCAGCTTATCAATGTGGTGGTGATCAGTGTGGCCATCGTCATTGCCCTGCCTCTCACGCTGCTTGTCTGCTGCAGTGCTCTTCAGAAGCGCTGCCGAAAGTGCTTCAACAAGGACTCCACTGAGGCCACAGTTACCTACGTCAACCTAGAGAGACTGGGCTACAGCGAGGACGGCTTGGAGGAGCTGTCCCGGCACAGTGTCAGCGAGGCTGACAGGCTTCTCTCAGCTCGTTCCAGTGTGGACTTTCAGGCCTTTGGAGTCAAAGGGGGCAGGAGAATCAATGAGTACTTCTGCTGAGGGATATGCCTCCGCAACTCACACACCTGCCTGCCCACGCTCCTTCTTTAGCTCTGACACCTGAGTACACGATCACCCACTCTTACCTGCTCGGGTACCTGCTTACTCAGATACTTACACACAACAACAGCAGCAGCAGCTGCTACTGCAACAACCGCTAACACTTGTTAAGCACTTACTACAGACTAGAAAGTGTTCTAAGTGCTAAATTCTTGTAACAATCATTTGCAGCAGGCATCACTATTCTCTCCATTTCCCTGGGGTGGGGGGTTAAGAAACTTGCCTGTATCAGTCAGCTTTTGCTGTATAACAAATGAAAGCAAAATCTTGGTGATGTATAGCAGTGAACACTTATTTTCACACTCACAGGCCTGTGGGTTGATTAGGGTGGCTCTGCTCTGTGTGTTTCATTTGGAGCCTGGGCTGGAGAGTAGCAGTGGGTACCTGGGGCAGGTTTCTCTCGTGGTGAGGTTGAATGATAATAGAGGAATGATTGTTCATGCAATGCCTGTTATGTTCTTAGTTCAGAACTGGTATACTGCCACTTCTGTCCATATTCTATCTGCCAAAGCAAGTCTCATGGCCAAACCCAAGTTTGATGGGGCAAGTAAGGACACTTCTCCCCTGGAGGTGATGGTAGAGCAAGGAATATGTGCTGAACAGTGATTTAATCTGCATTGCCCAGGATTACACAGCTAGGCAAATTTAGATGGCTCTGAGATTTGGACCACACAGTTGGGATCCACGGTTAAAAGTCCTTACCATCCTCCTATACTGCACCTTGATTACATTTATGCTAATTCATAGGCACTCACACACACCATCTCTCTATGCATTAGCCATATTGGTAGTTACCCATCCTCACTAACACACACACTACACTCATAACCCACTGTGCCCTCAGTGAATTCTAATATTTATTCTCTGGGTGCTATTCTGCCTAGAGACAATCATTTGATTTTTCGATAAATGCTAGAGTTTGAGACAATGCCCAAGAGAACATTGCTCATTTGCTTTCAGAATGTCAGGCTGGAGGGATCCAAGAGACCTCATTACACTCTGTGCTGTCTGGCACATTCACCTCTGTCCCATGCAGCAGCCTTTGTGATTCTTACCAAAACCTACCTGGGTTCTTGAGGGTGTCTCGGAGCCTTCCTGGTTGCTCATCAAGTTACTTCAAAGGAAAATTGCTGTTTGCTTTTTCTTGGAGCTAGGAAACCACTGAGATGTTGTCTCTGTGCACTGGGGAAAGTGAATGTTCCCAGCAGAAGGCTCAATTTGTTCCTTATTTATAAAGCCGATCTCTGGCATGAGGAGCATCCAGGGTACCTGTGCCAAGTCCTTTGGGTAACAACTGAAGAAATTTTGGGACAGCAAGTGATCCAAGAAAATTGTTTTGCTAGTATTATGCAAGAGACTCCAAGTATTTGTAAGTATTATGTCATGTGATTTATTAGACATAAGCCAGTGTGATGCAGTGCTTCTTACTCCCCTCACATTTACAAAAGACCTTACAACATATTTCACTCAGTTTTCTCACATTTGATATTCATGACAACCCACTATGGAGGCTGGGCTGTTTGATTTTACAGAAGAAGACCAAAGAGGTGAATGATTTATACAAGGAAGTGATGAATTCTCTTTCAGAATCTAGTTCTTTGACAACTTTCTCATCAGGCTGATGGTCTTTATTCAGTATCCATCCCTGCAATGTGGTCTACAGAAGGTTCACTATAGAAATCAACTTTTTAAAAATCACTGAAACCTGGGATCAGAACCATGAGAGCACCCATGCACATGAGCATGGAATTTCCATTCTTGGATATCTTCTGCCACCACCTGGAGGGTGCACCTGACTATAACTTGTGGACCATAGACATTGGTAAGAGAGGCTGTTTTGTTGTAAGATGACAAAGACACTGTGTACATTGGGAGCCAGCAAACTTTTTTCCTGTAAAGAAAGGCAAATAGTAAATATTTTAGGCTCTGTTGCTACTACTTAACTCTGCTGATGGGATGCAAAAGCAGCCATAGACAATATGTAAATTAGTGGGTATGGATGTCTTCCAATAAGACACTTTTTACAAAAACAGGTGACAGGCTGGGTTTGACCCTGAGATTGTAGTTTGTTTACCCCTTATGAAAATTTAGAAAGATATTTCTGGTGAGTTTTGGAGACCCAAGACTCAATTCTGACTCTTTGATAAATGAGAGTGATAGACACCCCCAAAATTAGGACAAATGTAAATGCAGTAGATGAAAGCAGTCATCTGTTGAAGTGATCAGGATGTTGCCTTTAAATGATGGTCTGAACCAATCATGATGGGACAGTTATTGACCTAAAGACAAGTAACATTTAGCCAGTTTTATTGAGTCTTGTTTGAAGAAAAATCAGGAACTTAAAAGCAAGAAATCTGTAGTATTTATCTGATGTTAACAGAGACAGAAAGAGAGAGAGAGAATTCAATCTTGCCAATGATCCAATGGTTTATTGGGACCTATTTTCATGGTCTGGATGGAAAGGCCTCTGATATGGTTTGACTGTGTCCCCACCCAAATCTCACCTTGAATTGTAATAACCCCCATGAATCAAGGGTGGGGCCAGGTGGAGATCATTGAATCACGGGGGCAGTTTCCCCCATACTGTTCTCGTGGTAATGAATAAGTCGCATGAGATTTGATGGTTTTATAAATGGAAGTACCCCTGCACAAATCCTTTTGCCTGATGTCATGTAAGACATGCCTTCGCTCCTCCTTGCCTTCTGCCATGATTGTGAGGTCTGCCCAGCCATGTGGAACTGTGAGTCCACTAAACCTCTTTTTCTTTATAAATTACCCAGTCTTGGGTATGTGTTTACCAGCAGTGTGAAAATGGACTAATACAGCCTCCAAGATGATAAGCCTCCCAAAACTCATCTGTCAACCTTCCTTTGTGTATCCTGTCTTCCCTGGTTTGCCCTTGTAGAGAAGAATCATCCTGGATTACGCTCATGAATATTCAAGTCATGGGAAGAAACACATTCTTATTGTAAAAAATAAAATGATGTCTGGCTTACCTTAGTCTTTTAGTATGTGAGTCTGATGAGTATGAGTTAGTCCCTGAAAATTGAATGCCCTCTGAGTATCCTGGCAAAAGAATTTCTGGCCTTCCAATGCTGAAGACCAATTTGGGCCATGGCGAGGCTGCAGCATAGCTGGCCTTGGAAGCCTGGTTTGTAGGTTGGTTGGAATCATAGCATCTTCATGATGTCTTTTGATGACTGCAACATGGTTTTATTCCTCATGATTAAGCAGAGAATATGTCCAAGGTCACTTGCCCATTGAAGTTGCTGGGTACAAAAAGGCAAATACAGAAATTGTGCTCTGGAAAGTGGATGTGGGCTATCAAACCTAGGCTATCAATCGAGGGATTCAGTGAGCAGTTTGTCTAGAGGACAAGAGCTGGAAATTTTTGTCTTAATTATCATATAATCTAACAAAGGCAAAAATCAACATACAAGTACCTGAGCATATTTATTCACAAGGGCATTGTAGTTAGGATAGGTTAGATTTATGCTTAGGCAACCATTCCCAAATTTCCATGGCTTAACACGGAAAAATGTATTCCTGTTCCACAGACTCTACTTAAGTTTGGGAAATACAGAAGGAGGGAGGGCTCTGCTTCACTAATTTACTCAAGGACATGGCTGGGAAGACTCCACCATTTGGAATGTCAGTGGTTGCCACAACAAGGAAAAAGATAAATTGGAAGATCATGTTAGGGCTTTTCAAACCTCATTTCTTGTAACATTTCATTAGCTAGATCAAGAGTCTTGTAGCCCACCTATTTCAAGGAGGCTTGGAAAGGTCTTTTGTGTCTCTGCCACAGGCATACCTAAGAGCGTGGGTAGCTGAGGCAGCATCTCAGACATGCTGGCAGCAGACGATGGGGGTGGGAAAGAGTCCTAGCTTCAGAGAAACGGAGTACAGCGTGTCTGCTCCCTGATAGGATGCCCTGTTCTCTGTCTGAGGTAGCCCAGTGTTTTACTAATATTGGGAAGGTGAGTGGCATTTTCCAATTGAATAGATAGGACACTCTCCTATTAAGATTCTATTAAGACAAGCCAGGGAGCTGCCTCCCTGCAGCCATTTATATCTAAGCATTTCACAAACACAGAGTAATTCCTCCCCCATGACTCTGTCTCTATGGAGAATTTTAAGACCCTAGTTCTGAAAAGCATCCTGCAAGAGGGAAGATGGGTTGTAATATTTCCAGACCCTCTTGCCATTGTTGTTAGGGTCTCTTGAGTTTAGGGACTACACTGAACCACAGGTTGTTTAACATAAATAACTTGACCCATGCTAACTTCAATTATCCTGGTCTCCTGCCTCAATTTCCAAGAGAGCCACTCCCTCTGTTCATATGCCAAATAAGGAAACCAGAGAATGAGGGGGTCAGGAAAGGAGTGGGGGGCAGTAGAGAAGTGGCCTAGATGATTCTAGAGATAGCATGCCAGTGGGTGTGCTTCACAAGCTTCCCGCAAACTTCTTGAAAGTTGGATGGAGCTGGATTCATTTGAAAAGGCTGGCATGAGATGGACAGAGAGGAAATTGTGGGGGAATGGAGGACTCTTAAGATCTTTATCCTTTGGGGTAAGGGGAGAGAAAGGAATCCACTAGTGGTTTGGAATAGTCATGAATTAAATCACATATTTCCATGAAACAAGCCTGACAAAGCCTTAGCAAAGCTGGTAGGGGACTCTGGAGTGATAATTGCTCATCAGAGTTTTCCCCCATCAGGGCAAACTGGCCAGGCCCTCACCACCCTCAGTCACTGAATGTGGGATGTGGCTGCTTTGGGAAGGACGTGACCTCATGCAAGCACTCCTTGCAGCTGAGCATCCACTTATACCTTGAAGGGGGATCTAGGAAGCACATAGCCATATGTATGACAAACTTTGTGCCGATAGCTCTCTCTTTGTTTTGGATTTTTACCTTTAGACAAACACAGTGGTCCCCCCAGGTTTTAGAGTTAGACTGTTTGGAAACTCCTGCAAATATTTCTGGCTTGGATGGAAAGCCTGGAGTGTAATCAGCTTAGCTGGTGACCCATTTCCCCCCTCACTGGTTAGCTAAGCGGATTTTCTTTCCTGAGGCCTTTTGTAGGGTACAATGTATATCATGAGTCTTAAAGGAACTCATGGAATTTCAATATTCAACTGGAAGTGCCCTAGTTAATAGAGATGTAGACTTTTCGGATCTTAAAGAGTTTGTCAGTGGGAGGAGGATTAATGGGCACCAACTGTGTGCTAGGTGTTGTATTTAACATAATCTCAAACTTTTCTAAAAATATGGCTGGATGCAATGGCTTGCACCTGTAATCCCAGTTACTTGGGAGGCTGAGAAGTTTGAGACCAGCCTGGGCAACAGAGTGAGACCCTGTCTCTGAAAAAATACAAAAATTAAAAAATAATGAGAAATAAATTCCTGGAAACACTATGAGGTATTTGTTAATATTCTCATGATACAGAAAAGACTCACAGAGATTAAATTACATTCCAAAGATCTCAAGATTCAGAAGCACAAACAAGAGAGAAGACTCCTTGGGACAGGGTCTATAATAGGTTTGCCCTTGACCCTGTTCCTTTCATTGGGCAAGAGTATAGCTTAAAGCAAATGACCAGTAAATATTTGTGGAATAAATGAAGAGTGAAAGAGCAAGCATATAAAATTGTATACATCTCTTTTTAAAATGTAGGTTGCCCATTTTGATGAAGTGAAATGCACAGTATTAAGGAAAGGTTGTGAAGTCCAAGAAAACAATCTTTTGGTTTAATCAGAAAATACCATCTTGTATTTGAAACTGGTGACCCAAGCTGCAGAAGCAGCTGTCTTGATGCAGTAGGAGCATGACTACACCACCCGTGGTGTTGGGAAGAGAACAAATGATAGGAATGAACACAGAATTACTTTGTTACTCATCACCTATTTTCACTTTGAGAAAATGATTGGAAATTCTAGGTTTCAGGAATCAACTGCAAATGATGAAGCATTAGATGGATTCTGGCCACATCCCCTGAACAGTGGTGCTCAGAATAGCACTGCCTGCTTGTTTCTCAGACTTCTGTTTAAGACTCTAAGAAATGTAGAATCTGTATGGAATTGGACATCTGACTTGGAGTTTGCTTTTCAGACTCAAGAATTACACAAATGTTGAATTTCCTGACCCTAGTTAAGAGACATTGATCCCCCTTCGTGTGTTCTGACTGAACTTGTGGTCTGGGCTGTAACAGACCTCAGAGCTCCCATGGGCTTTCCTGCTGCTGTGTGACTTACATCATCATGGATTACCAATAATAGGATTTGCCACTCGGAAGCTGGGGCGATACTTATTCAAAACTCACAACGTATTTTCTTACAGAGAAATATGGCTTCAGTTTTTCATTACTTCCTGTTAGTTCTGGTCTTTCTGGATACACACGCAGCTCAGCCTTTCTGTCTGCCAGGATGCACTTGCTCAGAGGAGAGTTTTGGCAGGTGCGCTCTGCTGGCCAGATGTTAGAGGGTTATGGGGAATGGGTTTTCTTTGGGGATGATGTGGAGTGGAAGCAGGCTTAGAATTGGCAGGAAATCAGCAAAACTCTATGAGACTCATTCTAGTTGGGACTGAACTTTGCTGAACTGTGCATTTTTACCAAAATGAGTCTAACTCTTTTATTTCAATGAATAATAATATTTTTATTCTGATTCACATGTCTAATGCCAGGATCAGCCTGACCCCACTTTTCAGTCCCCTGTTGTTTATCTTAAAGCTGTTCTGGTTTCTTGTACAGGACTCTGCAGTGCACATCTGTCTCCTTGGGAAAGATCCCTGGGAACCTTTCTGAAGAGTTCAAGCAAGTGAGAATTGAAAATTCACCCTTATTTGAGATGCCCCAAGGGTCTTTCATCAACATGAGCACCTTGGAATACCTCTGGCTCAATTTTAACAATATCAGTGTGATCCACCTAGGAGCCCTGGAACACCTGCCAGAACTGAGGGAGCTGAGACTGGAGGGGAACAAGCTCTGCTCAGTACCATGGACAGCGTTCCGTGCCACCCCTCTCCTGAGGGTCTTGGATCTCAAACGCAACAAGATTGATGCACTCCCTGAGCTGGCTCTTCAATTCTTGGTCAGCCTGACCTACCTTGACCTATCCTCCAATAGGCTTACAGTTGTATCCAAGAGTGTCTTCCTGAACTGGCCAGCCTACCAGAAATGCCGGCAGCCTGACTGTGGGGCTGAGATTCTCTCCAGCCTGGTGGTGGCCCTGCATGACAACCCCTGGGTATGTGACTGTCGCCTAAGGGGGCTTGTCCAGTTTGTCAAGTCCATTACCCTCCCAGTCATCCTGGTGAATTCCTACCTGATATGTCAGGGCCCTCTGTCCAAGGCAGGGCAGCTTTTTCATGAAACTGAGCTTAGTGCTTGCATGAAGCCACAGATCTCAACCCCCAGTGCCAATATCACCATCCGGGCAGGACAGAATGTGACCCTGCGATGCTTGGCACAGGCCAGCCCCTCACCATCCATTGCATGGACTTATCCCCTGAGTATGTGGAGAGAATTTGATGGTAAGCCACATGCACCCTCTCAGTGTATCTGGAGGGAATGGAGAGGTCTGTAGCAAACCCATCCTCATTAGAGAGATTCAAAGCTGGGTCAGTCACGAAGGGTGGGTGCAAGTAAGATTGGGATAGCCCTGAATTATGCTCACTAGAACAGAAAAGATTTCAAGGTAGTGTTCCACTATTGGCATTATTTTAAATGTTTGCATACAGATCTCTTTGCATACAGAACATATACACATATATAAACACATATTTCAGGGCTAATTTAATATCTTATGCAAATATTATAAAATTTTATATGAGCAGATATAGTCTTTGGGAATCTTCTAGATGCAAAACACTGGACTATGTATTTTAGAATTCTAGAATTTTTTACTAGGATTGATTTTAGAGATGATCTATTAGTTATTTCCTTAACTTGCCTGAGCAGAATCACCTGGGGTGCTTGTTTGAAATAACACTGACATAAAATTGTTCAGACCTTATTGGCTTGAATTTGTAATACTGGGACCCAGGGAAAGGAAGTGACCTCTGTGGGCCCTGGGGCTGGAATTCAAACCTGCCTCTTCCTTCCTGGAACCCTCTGCTCTGTTTTCATACCTCAGCTGGGATTACCTTTAATGCTACTCTGTAGGGTTGGGCATATCACAAAGCCGGGGATGGCCTCCCTGGGGGTATCCCAAAGCTGAAAAGAAAAATCTTCGTACATTCCTCGTGTCCTGTCTTCTGTTCTCTGTCTAGAAGACAACTAGGAATAGCTGGGTAAAACTTGGGAAATATAGTCATTTGCCCAGGTATTTGTTATACATTATGACAAAACTCTGGATGGTTTAAAAATACCCAATTAACTGAATTTTCACATTCTGTATTGTTTTGATAATACCTTATTGGTTTGGCATTCAATATCAATGAAAGAAAATTATAGGATTTATTGTTGTAGCCTCTTTGAAAACCAAGAAATGCATACAGGTGTTGTCTTTCGTGGTGTTCTATAATCACTGTTTGGCAACGTGTTATATAATCTCTCAGTAAAAATATAAGCATTGAACACTTACTTTCAAACTAATGAGGTAGGTGATTGCTTATCATCCCATTTTATTGACAAGAAAATTGTCAAGAGAATTTAAGCAACTTGCCCAGTACCACACTGGATAGGAGCTCCATTAGGGATAGCAGCCCAGGCATGTGGCTCCAGGCTCTGAGGAACTGTGCATCTGGAAGGTAAGAAGGCACTTCCTGAAGCTCATAATATCGTACAATCACATAGTTGCAAGAACTCTCCTGAAAGCCATGGCTCAGCAAGGCGAAGGTGGTTTGGTGGGTGCAGTTAGTGAAGTTGAAAGAGTATGGTCTTCATAGATTGAAGAGCCAGGTCCCATATCAATTGTTGCTTCTGAACAACTCTCACTACGGGCAAGTTGATGGATTGCTCCAATCCTCAATATCCTATGTGTAAAGATCAGTTATTTATCTTACAGGATTGCTGGGAGGCAAACACCTGACACCAGGTACGAGGTTCATAAGAGGTTACCACCATCTTCTAACAACAACAATAACAAAAAACAAAGCAAAACAAAACAAAACTGGCATTGCTAGACACTTTCCAGCAGTCTATCAGATAAATGCACAGCTGTTTTGTTTTTCTTTCCACCCAGTGTTGACATCTTCTACTGGAGAAGACACTGCTCTGTCAGAGCTGGCCATACCTGCTGCCCACCTGGTAGACAGTGGTAATTACACCTGCATGGCCTCCAACTCCATTGGCAAGAGCAACCTTGTAATCTCTCTCCATGTCCAGCCTGCCCAGGCCCTACATGCACCTGATTCTCTTTCCATCCCCTCGGAGGGCAATGCCTACATTGACCTGCGGGTTGTCAAGCAGACAGTGCATGGGATTTTGCTGGAGTGGCTTGCAGTGGCTGACACCTCTAAGGAGGAGTGGTTCACCCTCTACATTGCATCGGATGAAGCCTTCAGGAAGGAGGTGGTTCACATTGGCCCCGGAATCAATACTTATGCTGTGGATGACCTCCTTCCTGGCACAAAATATGAGGCCTGCCTCAGCCTAGAGGGCCAGCCTCCACACCAGGGCCAGTGTGTAGCTTTTGTAACAGGCAGAGATGCTGGTGGGCTAGAGGCACGTGAGCACCTCCTGCATGTCACAGTGGTCCTGTGTGTGGTGCTGCTTGCAGTGCCTGTGGGCGCCTATGCCTGGGCAGCCCAGGGCCCCTGCAGCTGCAGCAAGTGGGTCCTGCGCGGCTGTCTTCATCGCAGGAAAGCCCCCAGCTGCACCCCTGCAGCCCCGCAGTCCAAGGATGGCTCCTTTAGAGAACATCCAGCTGTCTGTGATGACGGTGAAGGGCACATAGACACTGAGGGGGACAAGGAGAAAGGAGGAACGGAAGACAACAGCTGAACAACCCAGGCCATGGGGTGGAAACGGCTTGGGCTTCAAGCCTCTGAAACCAACCCTCTGCAGCAGCTCCATCCATTTATCCAGCAAGTATATATTGAGCACCCACTGTGTTCCAAGCACTGAACTTGACACAGGGGGTTCAAGAGTAAAAAGGGAAACAGAGTCTTTATCTTCATGATAAAGGGGACATAGTCATTATCTTCGTAAAGTTAAAGTCAATGAAGATTTGTCCATCAAATTAATCATTTTATTATACATGGTGATTAGAAATCACTAAATATTACTCTTTGCATATACTTAGCCTATAACATTTACATGCTTATACGTAATGTCTACGTATAATATTTTACATATATTATCCTGTAAACGAAGGTAGACTTCTACCCACTTTTTATAGGTGAAAAACTGCAGCCTGGACAGTTCAATGATACACCCAGAGTCCACATCTGGCAGGAGGCAGAAGCCCCATTCAAAAGAGGTTCCAGTTCCATCGTTTCCTTGAATGCCTGTTTTGCGGTATTCTTGTGTCTTTCATTGTTTATAAAGTGTGACCCTCTCTCTTCATGACAAACTCCTAATGAGATCACATAAATGTGATGTTCCAAAGAGCTGCCCATCAGGGTGATGAGAGCTGTTGGGTAATGTGAGTCTCTTTTTGTAGGTGTCTGTTCCCCTGTGAGCACAGCCCTTGGTGCTGCTGGGCAGGCTGGAGCCATCAGCACCAAGGAAGAGTAGGGGATTGGCTGCAGCCCTGGGTCTGGCAGAGAGCAGACTCTGCAGGGCCATACCCAGAAGGAAGAGCACCCATACGTCCGCTGCTTTCCCCTAGTCAATGTCTAAAGCCCTCCTATGAAATCCATGAGAGGTGGTCATTTCCTCTTAGCCGGACCCATGTGGAATGGAGGGGCCCCAAGAATCCCAACATCAGCTCATCATCCCACTGAACAGCCCTTCTAGGGGAGACCATTCCCAGGATTTAATTCACATCTGTCTCCCTGCCGTTTCCCTCACTGGCCACATGCAAACCTTTCTAAGAGTGTAAACATGAACTAGACTCATTGTGACATCTCCACACGTTTCCTCCTTCCCACCTTTTTTACCCATTCCTAATCATCCTTTTAGGCCTCTCTCAAGTGTGTACATTACGTCTTCCACAGAGCTTTCCTTGACTTCACACCTCTGGGGAAAAGGACAGTATGCACATTGTGTCCATTGGTTGTGAGACATTTGCAGGCAAAGACTGACCTTCCTCACGGTGGCCACTGCACTCGTCTAATACCTGGATTGTGTTCATAATCAATGTTAGTTAACAATAAATTTTAAAAAATTGAAGATGGCTCTCATTTTCAGACTAATTGTCCGCTCATTTCTTCAGATTCTACTCATTTGTTTTCTTCTGGGCATTAGAAAAAAAAACTCTAAATTAAAAAAAAAATTGGGACAGGGGTCACTATGTTGCCTGGGCTGGTCCCAAACTCCTGGCCTCAAGCTATCCTCCCATCTCAAAGTCTCCCAAGTACTGGGATTACACCTGGCAAAAATAACTTTTAAATGAAAATTTTTAGTCACGCCAAAAGTAGAGAGAATCTCATTCCTCCTCTTCTGTCACCTTCAGCAAGTTTTAACATTTCCCAAGCTTATTTCATCTTGTCCTTGCCCTCAACATTTTTTTTTAACTGGAGTGTTTTAAAACAAATACAAAGCTTCACACCAATTTACCTGTAAATGTTTTAGTTTGAGGTCTAACAGATGAAGTTTTAAAAAACATAAACACAATGTTATTACCACTCCTAAGAGCAGATATTTTAAAATTAGATGGACATATATATATATTTAGATATGCACATGTGTAAAACACACACATACATGTAATGTAGTAGATAATTTATTAATGTGGAATTTCCTATGATAAATTTTTGAAGAAAAGTGGTTGGAGCAAGAAAAGAACTTGTACTTCTTGTGGCCTCTCTGTACTTCCTTCCATAGCATCAAGGGGGATTGATATGGTTTGGCTATGTCCCCGCCCAAATCTCATCTTCAATCTTAGTTTCCATAATCCCCACATGTCATGGGAGGGACCCAATAGGAGGTAATTGAATCATGGGGGTAGTTTCTCCCATGCCATTCTCATGATAGTGAGTAAGTTCTCAAAAGATCTGATGGTTTTATAAGGGGCTTCCCCCTTCACTCAGCTCTCATTCTTCTCTCTCCTGTCGCCATGTGAAGAAGGACATGTTTGCTTCCCCTTCCACCCTGAGTCCTCCCCAGTCATGCAGAACTGTGAGTCAATTAAACCTGTTTCCTCTATAAATTACCCAGTCTCGGGTATCTTTATTAGCAGCATGAGAACGAACTAATACAGTGGTCTACGGATCTTGAGGGTGTCACCATCATGAAATAGCCTGGGCTACCATGAAGGTGAGAGTGGATGTTCAGACCTTCAAGCCAAGCAAAAGAAGCTTGGTGGTGCACATGAGACAGAGGGGTCAGGATGAGAGAAGGGCTGTGGAAGAGCAGCAAGCAGTGCAGGGGAGAGCCAGGAGCATGTTGGTGGGTAGGGAAGTATTCAGTTGCTTCTGTAAACATAGAAATTTAGGGAGAGGGAAAATGGTCTAGGGAGGATTTCTGAGAATCTGATACTTTTTAAGATGCTTGGGCTGCCCCTTGAAAAACTCTAGAGTACAGATTCACATTACTCAGATTGAATAAGGCAATTTCGCAGTGGGGATGCAAGAACAGACCCTGGCTGGAATGTGGTTTCTTGGGCTTAAATTTTGGTTTTCTTACTGACTTTGTTGTACCAGGGAAGTTACTATTTTTCATGTACCTTAGTCTTCTCACCTATAAAATAGAATAATAATAGTACATTAGTGTTCTCACCTGTAAAATGGGGATAATAACAGTCCTTACCTCATAGGGTTATTCTGGTAATTATACGAGGCTTTTTTTTTAACATACAAAGTTCTCAGAACAATACCTGGCACATAGTAAACCCTCAGTAAATGTCACAATAATAAATGTTACCATCATTTCAGGCATCTACATCAGTTTGTGCTTTCTTTGAATGTGACTCAGCACATAGGGCCATTTGGAATATCACATCTTATTAAGACTACATATGTGTGTATACTTATAAATATATATATGTAATAACATGATATCTGGGCTAATATCCTTCACATGTTCTGTTTAATTCATGTTGAAAAGATGCTACAGTTTCCGATATAGTTGTCATGCCCTTGAGAAGCTTATTTATTTAGAGTTTAGACCATACAAGTTTAAGGCAAATGCCTTTGATTGAGGAGACATTTGTAAGCAGGGCTACTTGCTTTTAAAATGAAGACTCCCTAGGCCCAGGCGATTAGCAATTAAAGAGAGGAATGTTGTTCTTTTTCTTTTCTTCTTTCCTTCTATCTTGTTAGAGACATACACCTAACACCTAGAAGAGAGCCTGGCACAGAAGATATACTCCAAACTTGTCACCCTAGGAATGGCTGAGTAAATTATTGAGAAATGAATAAATAACCGAACCTCATTCAGGCCTCAAAAGGGGTACATGTGCACGATTTTATAACATCAAACCGATGTCCCCAACATCAGCCTGTTGCTACTCTGCTTTATTGATCAAATGATGGTCGCTTAAGCCATGACCGCCTCATTCTGGAAACTAGGCCCTTCAGAGAACCCCTCCCTAGGTTGTTTGTGAGTTTCCTAAGGGGTCCTCCATGTGGCACATGCCAGTCTCCTGCCTCATTCCTCATGTGGCATCTTCTCCATTCTCCCTCTCCATCCCTTGGTGGCCAAGGCCTTGAAGACTGTCAGGATGTGCCACTGCCTGTCAACAGATGCCAACACCCCTGGCAGGTGGACTGGCCTTGGATTCCCTCAACGCCTTCAGTCCCTAAAAATAGAATCACCGAAATCCTTAGAGAAGCAGAGCATGGTGGCTCCTTCCCAGCTCTGATCACACTTTTCTAGCAGGATTCTGAGGGACAGCTGCTTGAGGACAGAGTGCCACAAGTTCTTAGAGACCTCTCATTGTTCCTAACTCCCCTGGAATGTCAACGCCCAAATGCAGGCTGCCGGCTACACAGGCCACAGATGCTGTGGCATCTGCCCTGTCCTCCACTCCCCTCTGGATCCACTCTCTTCTCTTTTTCTAGCATGAAGTAAAAGCTTCTGGACCTACAGGTGGGTGGAAACATCCTGGGGGGTGAGGATGCATGGAGGGGGTCCTCTCTTTCAGGACATGGTGTTCTAGTATGTGGGCCACAGTCACGGCAAGTGTCTACTGAGCTTGTGTAAGTAGATACAAAGCCGGTGCTAGGCACTTTACATATATTAGATCTTTTCATCCTCTCTGCAACCATACTTTGCACCCTGTGTTAATGAGGAAAGTGAGGCCCAGAGAGACTTGACCTCTTGCCCAAAGTCACAATTAATGGCAGAACCAGAATTCAGACCTAGGGCTGTCAAACTGTAAAGGACTTTGTTATTTCACGTGATTGGAAGATCTGAGCTCAGCCGCAGGAGGAAAATGACTCTGCAGAGTATTTGGTGTCACATCCATTTATTGTCCATGAGGCTACAGCTCCATTCTCAGGGCCAGGAATGGGCAAGCCTGCCCAGTGTGCCATTCCTGCCTCCCAGCTCTTTCCCTGGAGGCCTACCATGGTGCCAGCCTGGAGCTCTGCCTGTCCTACTGGGACCTAGCAGACAGCCCCTTGGCCCACCATTCGTAACACAGGGACTTGGCTGGCCTCACCCCACTGGCGGGGTCTCCTCCAGTGCTGACAACACTTGCCGGTGCCTTAAGTTTGGCTGCACCCTCCTCCTCTTTCCTAGTGTGGCTCATGCTGGCTACCGGGCACTTCCCCATCCATGGCCAGTTTGCAAGATTGGCTCTGCCTTGGTCCAAGTTCCTGGGGTTGTCCAAGAGACCACCCTCGGTCCCGGATCCACTTGCAAGCCCAAGCTTCCAGCCTAGAGGTCTTTAGGACGCCTGTCTGAGAGACGACAGTGCTTCCCAAGCTTTCATGCCCACCCTAGGCCTCCCAATTCCTGCCCTTGCCGGGCTGCACTGGTAGGGTGGGAGAGTGGGCAATTAATTCTAGCTCCAGGTTCCATTCCTCTCCATGCAGCCCTGCCTGGGCTTGTCCTGTTTGGGAGAAAAGTCCAGTAGACAAGGCCTGCAAATGTCCTGCTGTTCAAGATATCTGCATGGCAATTTGGACAAAAATTTTCAGCCTTCTTTAGAGTCACATCTGGGGGTCGAAGAATGGATCCACCTGCTGAAGCAGCCAGGAGGCAAGTTGAGCTTCACTGTGTGTCAGAAAGACTGGTCTCCACAGGTCAGCAAACATAAATGAAAGCAGGGAGCAGGGGATCAGCATGGCCTTTGGGTAACAGACTTTATTTTCCATTTACAAAAGAGGTTGATTGCATGCAAGCTGTAAGGATGCTGTATTCCCTGTGGAGGGCAAGCATGATCCAGCACAGTCCTCTCCTGAAACACAGGCTGGAAAGTACTTATTTGCTCAGTCTGGGCTCCTGGATTGCTCGAGTCCACCTCTTGCTTAATACTGTTCACGTTGGGGACTGTAGAAACCCCAGCAAGGATTCTGCACACTGGCACATCTCAGTAACACCTCCAAACACAGACTCAGAAATCAGGAAAGCCACAAATGCATACAATCTCTTTAAATGAAATCACCAATGTATTCTAGAGGGGTTGTTAGTAAGTAGAGCCAAATGCAAAGAACTGTTCTACTTTTCTCTCTCTGTGCACACATGTAGATTTCCTGATAGCAGGTTCCTTAAAGCAGGGCACAACCTATTTGTATTAACCCCAGAGGCCTTGTATGACTTCTGTCCTGGGGAAGGTTGTCACAAGCTGATAAGGGCTGCCCTGGCTAGACAAGATCTTTGCTACCAACCTGCTGTGTGGCCTCAAGCAAAGCATTCCCTCCTTGAGAACTCATTTTCTTCATCTTGGCAAATTAAAGACTTGGAGCTCTGGTTCTCTCTGACGGTAGCTGGCCAGGACGGTAGCGGGGATGGAGTGAGGGAAGAACAGAAGTAGAGGTGTGTGAGTCACGGCAATGCCATCATCCAGTGGTAGCCCCTAAGCCCAGCACAGTGCCTGCTGGGGCGCTTGGCAGAGTAGATGTGAGGCTCCTAATACTTTCTGGAAGAGCTGCACCCACAGAACTGGGCTGCAGAAAAATACTTTGCATTCATGCCGCTTTGCACTTGGTTAAAGCCCTCATCACCACTATTTTCTTCAATCCTCACCCTAGACCTGCATGTGAGGTAGACAGGGCCTACTTTCTTCATTTACAGATGAGGAAGAGGATGATCAGCGACTTTAAACAGCTTTCCCAAGGTTACGCGATGTGAGCAAAAGAGCTGGATAAAAACGGAAGTCTCACCACATCTCAGCCCTGATATTCATCAACTGCCCTGAATTGTCTCTTCAAGGATGGCTGGTGGGGCAGCTCCTCAGAGAGCAGCCCTGATGCTCTTCTAGTTGCCTTTAGGGCTACCTCTATAGCTCCAGCTTTGACATTTTGCGGCTCAGGGCAGTCCTGGCTGGAGACATCTGCCCTCACTCTTGGCAAGATCAATCTTCCACCTCTGTGTCCTCTGTCCCACGTGGGCATACCAGGGTCCACAGTCTCTGCCCAGACAGAATGCTCTATCTTTCCAAATGCATCCTGGCACAGTCCCACAGTCAGTGTGTTTTCTGTGCATCCTTGCTCTCCCCTTACCTACATTTGCTTTCCTACAGCCCACGAGGTTCGCTGACCTCCAGCCTGAGACAGTGCTGAGCCTCCTTTTCCTGCTCCTGCTCTCAGCTGCAGGCGTCAGGATCCAGATTCTAGTCAGTGTTGCTCCACGTGGCCAGGGCCCTGCTGCTTGACTAAGGATGATGATGAGATCCCAGTAGAACCTGAGGGACTGTGAGGTCTGGGATGGGTGAGCTGGCTTCTCGTCAATTCTCAGCCCTGAAGAATGGAGGGCATTGTAGTAGTGCCAAGGATTTGAGTAACGGGGACGTATTTGCCAATTGCATCCTAGAGCCCAATGTCTTGCCCAAGGCCCTGACTAGAGCCCTGTCAGAGCGCAACTTCTTGTTGCGCCAGAAGGTGGCGGTAGAGATGAGGACAGTGGGGATTATACCATTGTGCAAAACAGGGGTCAGTGACCTTAAGGAGCAGAGGAAGGGGAGCATAGTCCGAGCAGCAGGGTGGTGGGGGTCAGGGGCGGAGGAAAGATGGGGGGTCATAGGGCATACACTAGAAGTAAGCCTTGTTGTGCACACTCTTCTTCTCAAACTTTTGCTTGAGCTCAGAGATCAGAGTTGACTGGACGGGGCTTCCCATAGTTTTGGGTTTTGGCGGGGGTTGGGTCGGCTGCGGAGTGAGAGAGCCAGAGACAGTAGGCACGGTCCACTGGGCTGCGCCAGTGCTGGGCGCCACGCTGGGTGGTGGAGGGAGAGCCGGAGCTCTCGGGAGCAGAGAGCTTTCTGGGCTGTTGTTGTTACAGTTCTCATTGGGAGGTTTCTCTTTGAGCATGAACTTGGTAGCGGCTTTGGTGCTCTTGGACTTGAGCCACTCAATGCGGATGGTGCGGGGCGCAGGGCTGGGCCGCTTGCGGAGCACCCGCCGCATTGGCAGGACCTTGTTAGACTTCTTGTTGCGCCAGAAGGTGGCGGTGGAGATGAGGACAGTGATGGCCACGACGGTGGCCATGGTGCCGGCCAGCACACCCACGGCCTTCATGGGGTTGTCCTTGGTCTGTATCAGGAAGGCAGCCATGGGGCTCCGGGAGAGGGTCTGAAAGAGAAAGCCACTCCCTGCACTCAGCTGTTCCCACCTGGTCCCTGGAGTACAGAGTAGGTATGTGCTTCCTTAAGCCTAATGGTTTTTAAACTTTCTGGAGTCAGGAGTCCCTTTGAGAATCTGATAGGCACTATGGGCTTTTGTCCAGGAAAATGCACACAGAGAGAGCATGATGCATGCAGTTCTCCAGAAAAATGCACGCAGACCCAGCATGGTGCAGACCACTCTCTGGTACAATATGCTCAGACAGAACGCAATGCGAGCAACCTCTTTTGGATTCAGAACTCCTGCTTTAGCTGGAGTCTGTCCTTGAGATGGTAGGAGATCACTTGCCTTTGATTGTGGCAAGTGGGGGAGGGGGTCCATCTGCCCAGATGTATCAGGAGTCTCTTAAGTGACTAGTTTTCTGCCAGACACTGAGCTGAGAGCTACACATAATGACTTCACTCTGCTTTTCAACACCCGTGTGAAGGAGGCATCCTTATCCCATCTTACAGGAAAGGTAACAGAGGCTTAGCAAAGCCCAAAGTCACACCATTAATAAGTATTGAACTAGAAACTCAACCCGCTTCCAAAGACTGTGTGTTTGATGGCACAGGCTGCCTTTGATAACGTTGAGTGTCTTTTGGAGGAAGCCTGGAGATGGTCCTTCTCGCTCTGCCCACGTTGCAGAGAGGTCTGAGCTGGCCTGCTGACCCCTTTTTCCTGACCATGGCTTTGTACTCACCTCAGCATCTGTGATGTCAATCTTGAGTAAGGCTGTGGTGCTGAAGGATGGGGAGCCCCGGTCCTTGGCCTGCACCTCTAGGGACCATAGGCAGTCCCTTCCAGGTGTGATGTTGTGCAGGGCATCCAGGGAGCGGATGGAATTCTTGAGCCAGATCTCCCCCGTGTGGGAATTGATGTCGAACACGTTGGCGGGCTCTGCATGGGTGATGGAATAGTCCACCAGGTTGTTGGGTTCCTCTGCATCCTCGTCTATGGCCTGTGCGCAGGGAGAGACAGACAGAGCTGGGCTTTGGGGACAATCCTTGTGTACTCTGGCTAAATCAGCACGTCATATGGGGCTTGCTGGGTTGATGGGAAATGGTCCTGATCCTATTTTGAGAGGATTGAGTTGGGAAAGGAACAGAATGCATGCTCTCCTATAAGCCAGGGTTTACGTAGGTCTTACACATGGGCTAGCCGATTCCATTATCAGAACAAGTCTAGGAAGCAAATATTGGTGAATCCATATTACAGATGCAGAAATGAAAGCTTAGATGCAAAGTGGCTTTCCCATGGATGCAGAGGTATAAGAAAGGGAGTCAGGATTCAAAGTCAAGTCTGCTGGGTTTCAGAGTTCATCCTTTTTGCCACATTGGCAAAATGACAAAGTGCGGTGAGAAAACCACTCTTTTGAAAAGCAGGCAGACCAGCTATGTGAAGGCAAGCCAAACACTTAACCCACCTGGCCTGTTTTTTTCATTTGTTGAATAGCAATATCTTCTTTCTCAGAGTTTAATTCTCTGTTGAGGTGGGGATGGGGATATACAAAATGTCTTAAAGTCCTTTGTCCATGGTGGGAAGCCAAAAAATTTTATCTTCAATGAAATTCTTATGCCTCAGTATCTCTTGGAGCTGCTGGACCCAGGCTTTTAGGGGAGCTCAGCTGCCTCCAAAACTTACCTCAATTTTCACTGGGGTCCCTAGCACCATCGTCTTCTTCTGAACGCTCTTTCCAAACTGAGGGGGGTGGTCATTGACATCCAGCAGTGTGATAAACACCTCAGCTACGCTGTACTTGCCTTCCATGTCCTCTGCCTTCACATAGAAGTTGTACCTGGCAGTGGCCTCAGCGTCCAGGCTAGCCCAGGGCTGGGTGTAGATAAGCCCAGTGGATGGGTGGATCAGGAAGCTGCCAGGCAGAGCACATAGGCATGGGTGTGCACGCATATACACATATGTGCATACATACACATGCCTGCAATAATGAGCTGCCTCCTGAAGCAGGAGTGAGGTGTCATGCAGCTCCTCCAAAGTGTCCTACCTGCTCCCTCCTATCCTTGCAATCTAAGTGAGGTAGATCCACATGTGGACTCACCCATCTATCACTATCCAGCTTAGCAACTCCAGTTATAGTCTTTCTCTCTTCCTATGGCCTGCCCCCTCCCCAGCCAGCCCTGCTTGCCTGGCTCCTGAGGTCCTGGGCCCTGAACTTCCTCACCCTCTGCTTCAGCTTTCCACTGCCTCTCTCCACTTCTCTTCACCCAGGCTCCTGTCCCTCCCAGGCCCCTCCTGCCTCTGCCACAGACCTCCTCCACCCTCAGCCTTCCAATCCCCTTGCCCAAGGCCCTGTCCTGGATTCTGGATCTACTTACAGGTCTGCCCCAGTCCCATAGGTGGAATATTTCACTTCGCCCCAGGGTCCTGTATCTGGATCCACAGCCTGGAAGAGAAAGAGCCCTGGGTGGCACGTGCCTCTTTGTCAGGGTATGTTGGCAGCTCCCATGCCCTGAGGGTTGCTTTCAACCACAAAGCAAGGGGATTTGGGGTTTGCCCAACTGGGGAGAAATTGGTGGAGAGACCTGCCCGGGATCCCTAGTTTTCCTCCAAGAAGTTTTAAGTATTGAAAGAGCCAAGAGATTTAGATCTGGAAAACACTCATCCCTCCTTTATAAATGAGGAAGAGGGGATGGGTCCCATGCCCTGTGATTGTTGTTTACACATATATCCTCATTACTGTCCTGTGAGGTGTTGTAATACCCATCATATGGATGAAGAAACTGAGGCTAAGAGAGGGCAAGTAGCTTGTCCAAGGACAGCTAATGAGTGTGGGTTCTGCCACTCAAACTGCAATGACCTTCCAGATTTGTCTGGCTTCACAAGGCCTCCTATCCCACCCAGTCCCTGGGCCAGTGCCCAACCCACTGTGACAGCCACCACGCTGGAGCCCCCTGGGGCGTTCTCAGGAATCCTGGCAACGTAGTAGAGGGAGTCGAACTTGGGGACATTGTCATTGGTGTCCAGGAGCTGGATCACAACATCCGCTGTGGAACTGAACTTCTCTGGGGTGTTCACTTCAACAGCCAGGAGCTGGGAAGGGGGGAAAATGGGGACTTGTCTGGGTAGGCACTCATGCTGCAGAGAGCCTTCCCACCTCATCTCCCCAGGACTGATGTGGCATCCATCTGCCGTGTCTCCCGATCTTCCTCGCAGCTGCCAACCAGCTATTCCTGTAAGGGTCACCTCTAAGGCCTGGCATCTTCCCCTACCCCGTCAATTGGCTTGTAATGCTAGCTTTCTTATCATTCCCATCTGTATTGGGGTCAGTTTATTTTGTTCCACTGAGCTGCATATCCTTTCCAGTTCCAATTGTCTTAACTATTCTTATAAGTTTATTAGCCCATATAAAAACCAGTTTAATTTTGTCAAGCCTTGTTGCCACCTGTCCAAAGGACATTCTAGGGAAGAGTTAATTGGGGGCATTAAATTCTTTTTTTAAAAAAATAAAAACAAACAAAAAAATAGGTCAGGCGCAGTGGCTCACACCTGTAATCCTAACACTTTGGGAGGCCAAGGCGGGTGGATCACCTGAGGTCGGGAGTTCGAGACCAGCCTGGCCAACATGGTGAAACCCCCATTTCTACTAAAAATACAAAAATTAGCCGGGTGTGATGATGTGTGTCTGTAATCCCAGCTACTCGGGAGGCTGAGGCACGAGAATCACTTAAACCTGGGAGGCAGAGTTTTCAGTGAGCCAATATTGTGCCACTGCACTCCAACCTGGGGGAAAGAGTGAGACTCTTGTCTCAAAACAAACAAATGAACAAAACCAAAAAACAAAAAAAACAAAAACAAAAACAAAAAAAACAAAAAAAACGAGTCTTGGCTCTATTTCCAGGCAGGAGTGCAGTGGTACTATCTCAGCTCACTGCAACGTCTGCCTCCCAGGCTCAAGCCATCCTCCCATCTCAGCCTTCCAAGTAGCTGAGACTACAGGCGTGCACCACAATGCCTGGCTAATTTTTGTAGTTTTTGTAAAGATGGGCTTTTGCCGTGTTGCCCAGGCTGATCTCAAACTCTTGGGCTCAAGCGATCTGTCCCCCTCGGCCTCCCAAAGTGCTGGAATTACAGGTGTGAGCCACCACGCCCAACCAAATTCTTTATTAACTTAAGGAGAGTTTGAACTTTTTAAACAAGGTATGCCTTTACATCTCTTTCTTTATGTCTCTTTGTGAAATTTAGCATTTTTCATCATTTGCATGATACATATTTCTTATGGTAATTCCTACAAATTTTATGTGTTGGTTGTTATTGTAAAAGATAATTTTTATCCCATATTTTCTTATTATTTTTTGTATGTAGGAAAACTACTGGATTTTGTGCATTAACTTTGTAATCAGCCATGTTGGCAATTTTGCTGAGTTTCTAAGAGTTTCTTTTTTTTTTTTTTTGTCTTTTCTCTCAGATTCTCTAAGCAAACAATCATCACCTGCAAATAATGACTGTCTTTTTTCCTCCTTTCTAAAGTTTGAACTTCTTACTTCCTTTCCTTATCCAGGAACAATGTTATTTCAGGAATTGTGTTAAATAGTAGTGGTGATAGCAGGCATCCATGCTTTGTTCCTAATTTCATGGATTGCTTTTATAATAGTATTTCACTTTTAAGCATGATGCAGGCTATAGGAGAGTATGTGTATATGTGTATAATTATAAATAAGATAATTTTAATAGTGTCAGTGAAGTATTTACTTTTCCTATTAACATATTATATATGTTCATATATGATATGCATTTTATAATACATTTATGATTTTACATAATTACAAATGATATCACAGAAGTATTTTTTTCCTCTTCAGCTAAGATTGTTATCAGAAGAGATGACAAATGTCAAGGCATATGATAAAACATCTATCTTGATAATAAAATAGTTTACTCAATCTATTAACATGGCAAATTATATTGGTAGTTTTCCTTTGATCCCACACCACCACCTGCATTCCTGGGGCTGGTTGTGGTGTGGAAGCCAGGAAGCTCAGTGAGGCTGGATCTGTGAGCAATCTGCAGGAGGGGCAGAGGGCTGGAGAAGAAAAGAGTAGGGCCAGGAAGGGCAGAGAGTGACAAGAGACCCCTCAGGAATGAACCAAGATGCTGGTATGAATTCCTGGGACCCTCCCATTCAGGGCAGTGAATTCAGGGCACCACCTACCTTGAAGGTTAATACTTTGGACTTTTCAAAGTCAATGGCAGCTGAGTTCTCCACAATGATTGTGACTTGGGCTTCATTCAGGACTGTCTGTGGAACCACTCGGAAGATGCCCCTGGGTCCCACCAGCTGCAAGTTGAATTTGGCATTGGCTCCCTAGAGAATTTGGAGAGTGGAAACAAGGAAGATGAATGATGATAGAAATTCATAATCATACTATATAGAAGTCTTCACGTGCCCTTAACCCTGGGAGATATTATTAAGAGAGTTTCTGCATCTGACTTTTCCTTGTGAATGGACTGTGAGTGCCTTTAGGCTAAGCAGATAGTCTTTGATTGGTTACTCTCCCTCCTCTCCCCCTTGGTTACAACTTCTTGTTTCATTCATTTTGTGGCCCACCTGGTCCCGGCTACATACGCAGAGCAGGTTGATGCAGACCCACTTAGCTTTGGGACCTTGGCTTCATACCGTTTGTGAGAAGGCAGAGCGGAGGGCAGGACCACACACCTGGTCGGAGTCATTGACGGTGATCTTGAGGCCCCGCAGGATCTCTCCCTGGGGTGGGTGCTCATTCATGGACAGCTCAAACCTGTTTTGGGGTCCGCTCTCTCCATAGAATGTTGGCGGGTGGTTGTTGAGGTCCACAATCCTGATGGTGACTGGGACGGTGGCCTGGGCAGCTGGGCTCCCCGCAGGGCTCATTTCAGTCACCTGGGATGGGGACAAGTGGCTATGGCTGTGTGGCAGGTGGACCCTTCATATGGTCCAGCTCCTACCTCCCCTGCAGAATGTATAATCCCCTCCGTTTGAGTGTGTCCTGGCTTAGCAACTTGGTTCTAACTGATAATATATGGCAAAGATGGCAAGCTATCACTTCATGATTACATGACAAGAGATTGTAACGTCTGTCTTGTGAACTCTCTCTCTTGCCGATTTTGATGAAGCAGGAAGCTACAGTTAACAGAGACTAATGGTGACCTCTAGCCAACAGCCAGCAAGGAGCTGAACCTCTTAGTCCAACAGCTCACAGAGAACTGAGTCTTGCCAATAATTGGGTGGGCATGGAAACCAACCCTTTCCCAGTCAAGCCTGCAGATGAGACCCCAGTCCTGGCTGACAATCTGATTGCAACCATGTGAGGGACCTGGAGACCGAAGACCCAGCCAAGCTGAGCCTGGAGTCCTGAACCACAGAAACTATGAGATATGAATGTGTATTGTTTTAAGCCACTAAGTTTGGGGTAATTAGTTATGCAGCTGATAACTAATACAGCCTACAAAGCCAGGGCAAAGATCCCATAGGTACCTTGTGAACCATGTGGCAGATATCCTATGAACCTCTTCAAGACCACCTTTCCCTTGTTCTGTAAGCATGCTCTGGTCTTTTGTATCCTAAAATAACCCTACCTGGACTCCACTCCTTGACACTTTCACTGCTATCCCTCTTGATTCTCATCCCACCCCTCATTCAGATTCTTCACCCTGACTTCCACACTGTATGTGGCACTGCTACTCTTTCTCCTTCCCAAGTGCTCTATTCCCACAGCAATGTGACTCTGCTCTCTACATCTTCTCCTCAACCTCTCTGATCCCTCCTGGGTTTCCTTTACCTGCCCCTCTCCTCCTCCTCACTCTCAGCCTCTTCACACAGCTCCCGCAGCTGTGCTTGGCCAATTGTCCTCTCTCTTCTTCTTCCTCTGGGTGCTTTTATTCCCTCCCATGCCTTCCACAGCTACCTGTAGGTTGACATTCTCTCCCACAATTCCAAACCTGTATGCCCAAGTTTTGATGTTTGAACTTGCATGTCCCTCGAGCCTTCAAATGCATCCTTCCTCACCTACTTCACTTGCCTGCTGTCCTGTACTCCTGACGGCACGGGACCACCTGGGCTTCATCTATCCCTCTCCCATCCCTTTCCCTCAAGATCAGGCAATTTCCTCATTCTGTGCAATCTGCCTCATGCATACTTTTCATTTTGTCCCTTTCTTCCATCCCACCTACCCTCAGCCCCACAGGCTGTCTTCCTCTGTTACTTTGGCCGATGGCTCTACCTCTCATCTAGTTCCCTCTGAACCCAAGTTGAGACCAGAGTTCTCAAATTCTGGCTGGGACTGGTACCAGAATTACCTGGGTGCTTATAATACGCAGATTCCTGGGTTTGCCCCAAACACACTGAATTCCTATGCCCGGGAGTGGATCCTGAAAATCTTGGTTGGCCCAAATCTCCAAATTTGGGAACTCCACTGGTCTGGTGAGCAGCCAGGTGAACTTTTCAAGTGGCTGTAATCCTGCTGAAAACCTTCCAATGGCTCCTTACTGCTCTTGGGTAGGACCAGCTACATAATTTGCAGGCCCAGCGAAAAATAAAAATATGGGATCCCTTGGTGAAATTATTAAGAATTCCAAGACAGCAAACAGCGAGCATTAAGCTTAGTGTGGGATCCTCCTAAGTATAGTCCTTGTGTGACTTCACAGGTCACATGCCCGGCTCTAGCGACAGATCCATACCTCCCATTCAGGACCTTTGCTCCTCTGGCCCCAGCCTGGGAGTCCAACGTTTCCTCCTTCTCCAGGCTGCCCATCTTTCTCTGCTCTGGCCTCAACTGACTCCTTGTTGTTCCCCCAATATATCAGTTCTCTCCCCTCCAGCCTGGGCTTGCTGCACTTTCCTGTCTTGGAATGCTTTCACTCCACCCCCACCCACCCAATGCCCGCCTCTGGCAGCATGCACCTGCAGGATCCCACCCATGCTCAGGCATTGCTGCTTCAGTTGCACCTCCTCTTGCCTTTCTGTGACTCCCTGTTTGTGAATTCATGTCTGGTGCAGGTGCTCTTTAGAACAACATCTAGCCCCCTCCCCAGACTATGGGCCCCAGGAAAAAGGGCCTGGGTGTCTTCACCTTTATAGACTTCCAGGGCCAAAGGTGGGCAGGGAAGACAAAGCTAGAGGGAGGGTACCTGTACATGCAGCTCATACACCTCTCTCTGGAGCTGGGCCGGGCTCTGAGTGATGGAGATGGCTCCAGATGTCTCATTAATTTCAAAGGCTCCATCGTTCCCTGTCAAGGGAGATGCACCCTGAAGTTCTGCACAGGACCACAGGGAGGCGCAGGGGAGTCGTGCCACAGGATCGTCCTGCATTGCCTAGGGAAGTCTTCATAGAATGGAATCCTGTCATCTGTGTCTTGTCAACATGGAAACAGTCTCAGAGGGGCTAAGTAACTTGTCTAAGGCTACACAGTTAGTGCAGATCTGGGACTTGAACTCACTTCTGTCCAGCTCCCACATTCCATACTGTGTCCCTTTTCTTATGCATAATACTATATGTGCATGTGTGCACGTGTGTGTGTGTGTGTGTGTGTGTGTGTGTGAAGAAAAGAGAAAGGAAGCAGGAGGACATACAGTGAGAGACGGACATGGAAGGGGAGGGGGGAAAGAAGGGACAGGAGGGAGGGAATAAAGAGAGGAGAGGGAGGGTGTGGAGTGGGACAGGCAGGAGATGGGGTGGGTGCTCAAGGACTGGGTAAAGGTTTGCAGTGGTGATGGGAAGGAAGGCAGCTGAGGTCCTGTGAGGCTGGGGAAAGGAGGCTGGCAGCCCACATGTGAGCTGCTGGAAAGTGAGTATGCACAGGCATGTCCTAGAGAAAGGCCGGGGCATATAGACATGCACACTTCTGGTACCAGGCACCAGATGCGATGCCCTGGCCTGGCCCAGGGACAGCTCATCTGGCTCAGTTGCTGCCCAGCTGTGGGAAGAGCACAGACTGTGGAGCTAGCAGGCTCAGGTTCAAATACAATGATGGAAACTTGGGATGCCTACTCAGCTTCTCTGAACTTCAGTTTTCTTGTCCATATATAGGGCTAGCACTAGGGAGATGCCATATCACCAATGCATTTGATTCATTTAATTCATCTATATGCTGTGGGATAACAATTAAAAAGAATGAGGAAAATACATAGCCACTTAAAAAGTGTGAGAAATGTTGCCACGCATTCCCATCAAGGAGCAAATACCCAGGGGGAGAGGAGCATGGGTTAGCACCTCCGTGTTGCTCTCAGCGCCCCTGCCCCATGCTCTCTTGGCTGTTGGATATCATGACAGGCAGGGACCGAAGCACACAACCCAGAGACTTGCTTGTCTTGGACACAGCCCTTCCTCTCCATACATCTTGTAATCCTGGTCCTACAGGTGAGGGAGCTGGAATCTAGAGAGGTTGAGGAACCTTGCTCTGGTCACCTAGAGAGTCAAAGCTGCAGCCCCCAAAGCTGCTCAGACTCACCATTTACAAGGCTGTAGAGAATTCGATTGGGTTTGCCCCGGTCTCCATCCATGGCGACCACCTTCAGTACCTCCGAGCCCTCGGGGAAACAGGAACAGCCGCTGCCTGATGGGCAATATGGGGACCCTCCCCTCCCCAAACAATGTCTCCATGATGAAAAGGAGGTGCTACCCCCACCTAGGAAAGGGTCAGGCCTCTACGTGGCGGTGGAGCATGGCCCTACTCTCCTCTGCAGGGGGATCGAAGCACCCACTGGCCTCCAGGGCTGGAGGGATAGCCTGAGCCCCTGCTTCTTTCTCACCAGTAGGGGTCAGTACCTGTGCTGCCCAGGGATTCTCAGGCCTCTTGCACCAACTCCTGGCCCACACACCACACTCAGCCCTTGCCTCTACTGCTCCCTAACCTCTAGCCTTACTTTCACTGCCCTCTCCATCTTTTGCTTTCATCCCACCCCAGAGGTGCATGAAGGAAGAGGTGGGAGAGAGGCCAGGCCTCAAATGCGAGGTCCCAGAATTAAGATTTTATCCTGTGGGCCTTTGGTGCTGCTGGAAGGGTTTGGGCGTAGGGCTGCCCCAACTATATAAGTCTTGCTTGACTTCTGCCTGTTGTCCCCTCTTAAGCCCCCCTACACAAGCCTTTCTCTCTGGTCAACTCCAGGCTACTTCTTAACCCAGCCCAGGTGCTGCCTCTTCCCTTGGAGCCTACCCTGAGCCCTGTCCCTCAGCACCACCTCCTCCCCTTAGCTCCTCAGTGGGATGGCCTGGGCCTACGCTGGCCCACCCTGCAGCCCCCATCCAGAGCAGTCCGGCATCTCTCTCCCTCACTCTGAGCCCGTCTCCACCACTGGGTCCTCAAAAAGTGTTTCATTTTGCTTTGTAAAGTCAATAATAGGCCGGGCGCGGTGGCTCACACCTGTAATCTCAGCACTTTCGGAGGCCAAGGCGGGTGGATCACCTGAGGTCAGGAGTTCCAGAACAGCCTGGCCAACATGGTGAAACCCCTTCTCCACTAAAAATACAAAAAATTAGCTGAGCATGGTGGTGTGCACCTGTAGTCCCAACTACTCAGGAAGCTGAGGCAGGAGAATTGCCTGAACCCAGGAGGTAGAGGTTGCAGTGAGCCCAGATCGCACCATTGCACTCCAGCCTGGCGACAAAGCGAGACTCCGTTTCCAAAAAAAAAAAGTCAAGAATAATCAGACAAACGCAAATTGAGAAAGCAATTCAATTGCACAGAGTTCTTAAGCTGTAGCCTAGCGAGGCCTGGCTCCAGCCTGGTCTCTGCCCATGGGGAGCTCATGGTCTAGTTGGGGGCAAAAGGGCCAGTTCATGGCCTGAGGCTGGGTGAGTCCAGAGCTGGCCTCTGTGTGAGGAGGGCAACCGGGACCAGACCAGCCATCTCCAGCAGGGGGTCCCTAAAATCACAAGGGTCAGGGCAGGAGGCATTTGGAGGGATCGCTGGCTGAGGGGGACAGCCACCCACCGGAAGGGTGTCCTCGTACACATAGCCATAGTAGGGTGTGCCCACGAAGACAGGGGCCATGTCCTGAACATCCTCCACATTGACCGTGACCGTGGTGGTGGCTGAGAACACCACATCAGCCCCATGAAGCCTCCCACCGCCATCCTGCAGAAGAATCGGAGGCCACAGGAGAGTGAAGACAAGTTGAGATGTGGAATTGGACAGAATCCGTGAAAACCTGGCTTCTGCCACCTATGGCTGTGAGGCCAGCTGTCCTCTCCAAGTTTCTGTTTGCTTCTGTGTCACCCGGAGATAATTCTTCTCTCACAGGAGTGTTGGGAATGTTAAAGTGCCACCATTCCTTTGCAAGTGGGGTTAGTTCTCTCTTCAGAGAAATCATATCAGATGAGTGGCAGGAGAGGGGGCATTCAGAGCTAAATTCCCCCTCCCAGCCAGAAACCAAGCCTCAAGCACCTCCTGAGGATCTACTCTGTGCTTGGCCTGTGCTGAGTGTCAGGGACCCACAACAGCAGGACTTGGGCCCCGCACTGAGCATCATAATGGAGATGTGCAACCAGCCCAGCCCGTGCAGCTATGGGCAGGCGAGGCTGACTCGGGCCTCCTGGTACAGGCTGCAGTGGGATGGCCTGTAAGCCAGGCTGTGACCAGCAGGGGCTTGCCTGCAAAAGAAAGTGCTGGGCCTAGAGGGGCTGCTAGGGTTTTGCGCTCTTTGTGGGGGAAGAAGCTTTGGTGGGCACCTGCTGGTTTCCAATGTTTCCCACACCACACACTTCAGAAATATGAGGAACTTAGTTGAGCTTCAGGGGTGGGCAGATGAGGAAACTGAGGCTCAGAAGGGGTGATTGGGCACACAGAGAGGAGGAGGTGGGTGAGCAAGCCTGGCCAGCGAGAGGGAGGTGCCCAGAGGCCATGCTGTTGAGGATCTGAGGGGGATGCCATTCTCTTGGCCATCCCACCTGGTCTTACCTGGGGGATCCTGGCCCATTAGTTTCGAGGAGGCATATGCCCTCCCACAGCCCACAGACCCCAGCCTCCCTGGAGAATATGTCCAGGCAGGAAAAATTCCGAGCAGCTGCTCCCTATTTCCCCACGCCCATCATGTCTCCTGCTCTCCAAACTGCTCCCACTCCCCTGTAGAACCTAACTTGGTTCCAACCCAAGGGCTGAGGAGACACTGGATGCTCCCCTGTCCTGCTGTGTTACCTTGGCGACCACGGTGATGTAGTGGGTCCGGGACCTCTCGTAGTCCAGAGTGGCCCCAGCCTGGAGGCGCAGCACACCGCTGTGGCGGTCCACGGCAAATGGGGAGTGCAGGTTCTATAAGAATTAGGGGGCAGCTGGACCTCAGCAAGAATGCAGGCCAGCCCCAGGAATGCCCGCTCTGCTTTCTGAAGGGGGTCCTCACTGCCCCTCATTACAGGACCTCAGGGCTGAGGTTCCTACTTCAGAGCACTCAGCTTTTCTGGTCCCAGGTTCTCCTTCATAGGACTTGGGGCTTTCCCTCCCACACCCTCAGTGAAAAACACAAGGTTCCCTTTTGGGCCTTTGTTTTTCCTCCTGCTCAGCTGGAAAGCAAATTTTCTTGGGCTCAGCTTTGGGCTTAGCTCTGGCCTGGAGGGTCCAGCAGATGGCAATGTCTGCGGAGTAATCTAACCCAGAGGGAGCCAGGGGTTAAAAGTCACAGTGAAGGAGAGAAACGTTGGGACCTTCAAACCCTACACCAAGCAAGTGACTGCGGGCCAGTCCCAGGCAGCCTGGCATCGGGGGAGAGGGTGTGCAGCCTGAAGGAGGCAGGCAGGGAGCACCGGCCTCTGGTAGGGTCCCTGGGGGCCCTTCTGGCTGGGTAGTGTCAGGCGCTTGTGCCAGGTGCTGTTATTGGGGACTTTACACATATGTAGTTTTCAGAACAATGGAACAAGGATGTGTTTTTATCACTCCCATGTGATACATGAGGAAACTGAGCTGGGAAAGTTAGATAACGCGCTGAAGGTCACGGGAGTGGTGAGGGGTGGGGTTTCTCCAGCACCCGTGCAGTCCAGGGGACTTCTGGGCCTGTGTTGTTAGGGGAATCAGAGCTCTGCTTCTTTTGAGTGTTGTCTCTTCTGCTCTTTTTTCTATTGACCATTCTGGGCCTACACGGGGTTCTCCACCCATGTGGCAGCCCCTGGGGAAAGGGCTGGGGATGTGGAGGGCTGAGGGTCCTGGGGACGTTGGAAGAGGGAGGGGACAGGCTGACTTAGAGGACGCCAGGATGGGCCCATCAGGGGAAGAAGGCTTCTGTCCCTCTCACATCCCCTCCTGCCCATCCCAACCCTTCATGTACTTCTCGGGAATCATAGAGGCACCGACCTAAGGGCCTGGGGCGATGGAGGTAGGGGCCATCTAGGTGTCCCCTCCGGCCCAGCCCCAGGTTAGGTCCTGTGTGTCCTGCCTTACCTGCAGGAAGTAGGTGACACTCCCTCCAGAGCCTGTGTCCCTGTCCACTGCATGGACCTTAAAGATGATGCTCCCAGCAGGTATGTCCTGAGGGGGTCACAGCCACAGGGGAGGGTCAGAGACAGTGACAGCATTCTCAGGGGGACAGAGGCATAGGGGCATGCAGCAGTGGGGTCGGGGAGTGAAGTGTCAAAAAGAGGTGAACAATTGAGGATAAAATGTGTGAGCACCCAGTGGGGGCTGGGCCCAGAGAGGGTGCAGGAAAGAGGGAAAGGGAAATTGGAGCAAAAAGACGTGGTGAGGGGCTGGGGGATGTGCTCAAGGAGAGAGGGAGAAGAAAAAAACCAAGACCCCAAACAGATAAAAGGTCTACCTATGAAACAGCAATTCAAAAAGGAGGAGATGGCTCATAACCACAGACATATTTAGGATCACCAGGGACCATATACCTACATTTTAGAGCAAGAATGAGACATCTTTTTCCTAGTGACTTAGCAAACTTTTTTTTTTTTTTTTTGAGATGGAGCTTCGCCCTTGTTATCCAGGTTGGAGTGCAATGGCGTGATCTTGGCTCACTGCAACCTCTGCCTCCTGGGTTCAAGCGATTCTCCTGCCTCAGCCTCTCGAGTAGCTTGGATTACAAGTGCCCACCACCATGCCAGGCTAATTTTGTATTTTTAGTAGAGACTGTTTCACCATGTTGGTCAGGCTGGTCTCGAACTCCTGACCTCAGGTGATCTGTCCATCTCGGCCTCCCAAAGTGCTGGGATTACAGGTGTGAGCCACCGTGCCCAGCCTGAATTAGCAAACATTTTAAACTTTGAGAATTCAGTATTGTCAAGGGGCAGAGGAGAAAAATCCTCCCATTGCAGGAGGGAGCAAACAGGTGCCTTCTGGAAAAGCAATCTGGCAACACCCTGTGGGCATGTGTGCTTTTGATGCAGTAATTTCAAATCCTGAACTGTATCTTAAGGAAAGAATCCTAATTAATGAAAAACAAATTGATGCTCAGAAGTTGATGTGTCTCATGATAGCAAAATTTAGAGCACCTTAAATATCCAAACATCAGGCAATGATTCTGTAAATGATAGACTGTTCACTTATGGAAGCTATTAAAATGATAGTTACCCAAACTTTACAATTAATGAGGAAAATGCTTATGTTATAACTTAAGTGCAAATAGGATATAGGAAGCATATGTTTAGTATAATCACAACTATGCCAAACAAACAGAAAAAAACAAAACAAAACTCTATAATGACAAAAAGGACTAGAAGGAAATACACCAAAATTTAACAATGTCTCAAGTTGGAGACAGCGAGGGTGATTTTGAAAACTCTAGTTTCTCTTACTTTTCTACACATTTCACAATTCTACACTGAACATGTATAATGGAAAAAAGCAAATGAACATTCCTTTGGAATAAAAGCGAATGTTGGAGGGAGCAGGTGGTGACAGAGAGGTTCTCCACAGGGCAGTGAGCCATGGCCAGGCCACAGGGCAGCCCCAGGGGTAGGCTATGGGCCTGGGTGGGAAAATCAGCCCCTCTAGCAGCTCCTCACTTACCTCGGGAACCAGGGCAACATAAGGCTCCTGGATGAACCTGGGCGCCTCATCATTGGCATCGGTCACCAGGATCACGACTTTTTCGGCCACCTGAGAAGGGGCAGAGGGGTCAAGAGCCAGTGCAATGAGACCTTCTGAAGGATGAATGGATAGCGACCTCTATCACTCCAATGTACACGTCTCTGCCCATCCCTCCTCTCTCTCTCTCTCTCTCTCTCTTCCTTCTTTTATTCATTAATGCAATAAACATTAAGCAGCCTCTTAGTGCCAAACACTGTGTTTCATCCTGGAGGCAGAAGACTGTCTGATGATGTGTTATTTTGCAGTAGTCATGGTGGCTGGGATATCAGGGCAAAGATCAGCATATTAAAAAACACTTTATGATCTCCTCAAGGTGATAGCAGCAGTATGCCAGGCACTGAGGGCGGGGCCCCTGCACTGCACCAGCGCACACACATGGCCTGTGTAAATGCATCCGATGGGGTTGAGAGTTCCTGGGCTGTGGTGGTGGAGAGCAGGTGGGCTTCTTAGAGGAGTGAGAATTAATCCATGAGGCAGTTTGCCAGAAGGAAAGAGGTAGAAAGTTGTGCCAGGAAGAAGGGGTTGTATGTGCAAAGGCAAAGAGGAGTGAAATGCATGGTGAGCTGAGGATGAAAGTAGATTTATGGCTAGATTATGGCCTGGGTGGGGTGGATGTGAGAGAAAAGGCAGTGAGGCAGATGGTGCCCAACGAGGAGTCCTGGAACACCAGGCAGAAGCTTAATTTTCATCCCGCCAGTGGCGGAGGCCAGTTGTTAGTGCTTTCCCAGCCTCAGAGTGGGCAGATCTGACTGTTCCATAGTGACAACTTCAGAGGCAGTTGGGGTCGGAGAGCCTGGAGGCCAGTGAGCCCCTGGGGTTTGTTGAGTTATCCAGTGAGCACTGATGATCGCTGAGAGAAAGTGGTTGCTGTGGGGTGTTGAGCTCAGGTGACTGAGCAGGAGGGCAAGACCTGGGTGGGGGAAGCAGATGGGGAGGGCAAGTTTGAGGAGATGCTGTGGAATGTGGGTTAGACCCATTAGAAGCTCAGCTCAGAGAGCCTGATCTCTCCATTCCTTCTTTTCCTTCCTTCCCCCTGGCCTTGCTGCAGCCCTCTCCTGTGGGCACTTTGGGCAGGTCTTGCTGGGCCCTAGCTTAAACTTGCAGAAAAGCCCCCATGAAGGCTTGGGGAGGAATCGTGCCAGCCTCACCCTTCTCAGGCCCAAATACTGCAGGCTGCCAGGGACTGCCTTGGACGTGCACTCACCAGATTCAGGCCATCAGAAATGCTGATGATGGCTTCAATCTCATCTTCCCTCTGTGAAGCACAGGGACTGAGTGAGTGTCCAGGAGTCTGACACGCCATAGGACCCCTGTGGCTGGATGGAGCTCTCCCTGCCCCACGCACCCATCAGAGGAGGTCTGGGCGTGCCAATAGATCCCTGGAGCAGGGTAAGTGGTGGTGACAGCATGCCTGGCAGAGTAGAAAGCTGCCTCCCCCCATGCTTGAGACCTTATTTTGGGACTTTTGTGTCCGGGGTTCTTATAAACTCAGAGACCCAGAGGGTCTGTTGGGGCTCCAACAGAAAATACTCTCCTGCCACAGTGAGGCGAGATGTCGACCTTAGTGTGCTCAAGGTCCCATAAAGACTTTTCCTCTTTCTTTTCCCTTTTCTCCCCTTTTCTCTCCACACCTCTCCACATTCCAGGGCTCTGCAGAGGCTCACATCCATGGTGTCTCAGTGCTCCCAGGATATGGTGAGACCTCAATGGGGAAGGGTATCGGATGTTGCCAGATCCCGCGGGTGCCAGGGAGTGGGGTACTGGCAGCACAGTCAGGCTCCACTGCTGTGTCCCCACAGCAGTCCCTGAGACCTCCCTTTCCTTTCTCTACCCTGTCCTGCAGCTAGTGGAGGCTGTCACGAGCTGGCAGCATCCCCACAGCTGAGGTCCAGTTAGCCACACACCAGGCTGCTATGCGGTCTGAAAAAGCCCATGCCCTGTTGCCTGCAAGTTCTCAAGTGTGTAGAGTGGAGGAGCTCTGCCAAACTCAGACTCACTGCCAACCACCCTTTCCAGCCTTGACCTGCTCTGAGTTCCTGTGCCTCTCCCAGGACAGGCTTGAAAAATCACTTTGTGAGGTTTCTTTCAGAAACCTCAAAGTGCAAACGGATTTATTTTTAATGGAACATGCTTAAAAGATTAGCAGGGCTGGCAGGTGCTCGTTAAAGGAGCCCACTCTTCGCTCTGTGTGAAGGAGGAGCATGAAAGTAAAGCCCACTCTGCTGATGGGAAGTGGCCCAGAGATCTCACAGAGTGGATGTGCCTGGGGTGTGCCCCCTCATCCCCTACTCTGTGGAGAGGTTCTAACCAATGTGCTCCAGGGGAACTTCAGCCCACCGAGGTCTGTCTACAGGCAGTGGCCCCGCAGCACTCCCCACACCTCCCCATACCTCTCTGTCCAGCTCTTCAACCAGGGTGATGTTTCCAAAAGTGGGGTCAACAGAAAAGACGCTTCTAGTGCTGGGGTCAAAGCTGATGTGGTAGGAGATGGGGTCTCCCTCAGGGTCTGTCCCATTCAGGGTGTATACGTGAGAGCCTGGAAGGAAACACAGTGGAGAGACATAGAATCTGAGACCCAACTTTTCCTAAAAGTGGCAGATGCTCAGGACCAACGATTCAGCTGTTTATAAAGTGACTATTCAACTCAGTGCCAAAGGTACTGCCCTGAACTTGGTGCTCATTGCTGGCCTCACCCCTGCTGGCTGCTTCCCTCTTTGTATGTTTATTCTTCACAGCGGGTGGTTGTGATGATCAGCCACTTTCCAGATTGTAATCTATAACACGGGTTACAGAGCAGGTGCAGGTCTGCCGTGCCTAACTGTAGTGCCTATGTTCTGCTCAGCCTGGTAATAACTCCTCTCTCAGGATCCAAGATTGAGGGGCTCCTGGGTACAGGGAAGGGGAAATGGGAGCAGCCATTAAGGCAGGAGGGGTGACCCACAGTGCACCACTGTCCCCGATGCCTGGACCTGGTTCTGCAGGGATTTCTGAGCCAGGTGCCTACTTTGCTCTGCTCTCCCTTTTCCCCGGGTTCCCACTACCCACAAAGTGAGGGAGAAGGAGTGTGAAATCTCCCCTTTCTCCTCCCCTCTCTCTGCATATCTCAGCAAGTTGGATGTTCTTAGGCCGTTTTAAAGCCTAGAGACCTGGGGCTCAGGGAGGTAAATACATTTGTTCAAGGTCACACAGCCATAAGGGGCAGCTGTAGCTGCCTGCCTCGCGGGGCGACCCTGTCTGTGGGGGGGAGCCCTGGTCTCCAGGACTGGCCAGACTTAAGTCGCCATGGCAGCAATGACCTTCTTTCCTGCCATTGCCCAGGGGAATTCGGAGAGCAAACAAGGAGCCCCCGGGCGCGCGCAGCAACTTGGGTGGTGCCTGGGGCACTTTGTGTTCTAAGTCTGCCTGCACCCCTCAGGGAGACCTATCGGGAGCAGGTGCCAGGGCTACTCACCTACAGGGGTGTCCTCTGGGAGGCTGAACAGAGCCATGTTTCCGTTGGTGCTGCCGACCCCGTTGTCGAAGAAGTGCGGGGCGAAGTTGGCCTGAGCTGGAAAAAGAACACAGAACAGACGGACACCCAGGCAAAGGACACCCAGACACCAGGAGGGAGCTTCGCACCAGCGCGGTCCCGCGTCAGGCCCAGCTACTGGGCAGGAGGGCGCTCCGCCTCCCCAACCCAAGTGCACCGAGGGACCCCACTGGGGCGCCGCCCAGAGGATGCCCCTGACCCCCACTCCGCCCCCGGTGGGCTCGGGCTTGTCAGGGACACGTAGCATGTGGGCGCTTAGAACCCAGGTAGCAATCCAACCCCTCCTTCATCAATGGGCAGATTGCACCCGCGCTCGGAGAGGGGCAGTGCCCCAGCCCAGCCAAGGTCAAGCCGCGAGTCAGGGCACTATCTCCTGCCCCACGCAGCATCGGAGCTGCCACCAAGCCTACAGCTCTGGTTCCCAGCAAGCGGAGAGCAGCGGGGGTCCGGGCGCCAAACCCTGGGGCCCTAGGATGCCAGCTCTGGAGAAGCGCCCCGGAGCTCCCCACTACTCCGCTACCCCACTCCCCACTACCGAATGGGCCAGGAAGATGGAAGGACTTCTCCGCTCCCGTCCACCAGCCCGAGTCCCACTCTGGAAGTGGTCCAGGACCATGTCCCTCTGGCCACCTGGGTGACGCCAGCGCCCATCTCCCTCGCCATCCACGCGGCCAGCGCGGCCCAGCGGCCACTCACCCAAGCAGAGGCGCAGCAGCCCCAGGGCCAGGGCGGCCCACCGGCAGCGCCTCATGTCTCCGCCGGCGCGGAGTGTCGCCTGCCGCCGCCGAGACCGGGCGCAGGGGCACGGAGCATGCCCTGGGCCCGCGGGGAGGGCAGAGACCACAATGGGGGTAGCGGCGACTGCAGCCGCGGCGGGAGGGGGCACGGGGCGGGAGCGGCGGGTGGCGTGAGGGCGCTAAGAGGATGACACGGCTCGGATCTGCTCCTGCCGGCCGCCTGACGAGACCAATTAGCGGCGCAGAGCGGAGCGACAGGCTCCCAGCCGCGGGCGGGGGCAGGAGGGCGTGACAAGAGGACTCCCCGCCCGCCACGCCCCCTTTGCCGGCGGCCCCCAGTCCTGGACAGGAGGACACCATGGGGGACAGGAGTGTCTTTCCCCCAAGTTGTCCTGAGGCTTTCCCAGGGTACTTAAGTCCTGGTGGGGCTTGGGCTTCGCAGTTTTCTTTTCTCATCAACTTCCTCTGTGACTTTCAGGGGCTTAGCTGTCTTCTCTGAGCTAAGCATTCCAGAAGAAAAGTTAGTGGAGCGGCCGAGAGGGCCTTGCCTTAGCAGTCTAAGCAGGTTCTATAAGCCGCGTGAGACCAAAGGCAAAGAGAAAGGGTGATGGATGGGCAGCAGATGGTAAGGGGTTATCAGGACCCCCTCTCTGTGATCTCAACCCATTCCTGCCCTGTTCCCCAGGCTGGACCACCTCTCCCAAAGGGTCTGATCTGTGTGGTGGGCAGCAGGGAGGACCCTCAGGTGTCCACCAGGGTGAGAGGCAGTTCTGCTCCCCATTCCCAGTCAGTGCCCAGTCTGGGACCATGAAGGGGCAGCTGACCCACTCTTCAAACCTTCCAAGGAAGAGTGAAGGGCCTGAAGGCAGAGTTAAGCCCCATCTTAGGACAGACTTGCACAGAGCTGGCCAAGATAGATCTGAACTGCCCGAGAGGCACGAGATCTCATTCCTAGAGGGTATTTACACAAAGCAAGGCACTGCTATTGGGGTCCTGGATGCTGATAACTTGAAGACACAGGTAAGCCCAGGAACCTTTTTGGCTGCTGGTAAAGCTCCTTGGGCTTCCTCGTTCTCCTGCTCTGACACTGGAGGGTGCTTGGAAATGCAGCCTGTTTTCCTTTTCCTGGTTGGGCCATTTATGGGGGTACAGGTCACTTCAAGCCCAAGCCAGGCCACTTCCCAGGATGCCCTTGGGTGGATGTGTTCTCAGATAGAGGAGATCCCTCCTCTGTGTGCTCCTGGGAGAGGTCTCCACAGCTGAGGACTCAGCATTCCCCCCCTCCCCCTGCCAGGGGCCTTTGAGGGAACAGAGCACCCCCCATCCCTTGGTCTAGCCCTACATGATCTACTGTGAGCAAGGGTCAGGGATTTGCAGAGAAGAAGGAAGATGAATCAATGGTTTTAGAATGTGCAGCAGTTTTCAGGCCTAATTGGCCGAAACCCTTGTTGAGTCTCCTTAGGCTTGGCTCTTTTGCTGAAAAGACACACTTTAAATTGCACAGATGTTCTGAATCTGCCTCCCAAAGTGCTGGGACAAAGCTAAGGCAAGTATTCTGCAAGTCCCATATAGGGATGTGGAGACTGAGTCTTGCCGTGGATTTCCCAGGAGCCAGAGGCAGAGCCAAGGTTTCCTGGAGTAGATGTCTTGGTGGGCCGAGAAAAGCCAGCTCTCCCTGGGTCCTGTTAGCCCTGCTCCTCACCAATCTAGGGCCGTTGATTTCTCTCTCCTCAGTTCCCTCAGTCAACAGCCATGCACTGGAGAGGGAAGGGGAAGGAGTAGCCTACATGCCATGTGCTGTATGTGTGCTTATGTATATTTGCCCATATTATCTTATTTGACCTGCACTGCTCTCCCAATGTGATTTTCTCTGCTTTGCAGAGGAGGGAGATTTCCTCATTGGCTGTGTACGACCAAGCAAGTGACTTATTCTCTCTGAGGTGCAGAGCTTGGATTCACATACAGTTTGGGTTGGCTCCAAAGAAGGTTCAAACTCTTTTTTTTTTTGAGCTGGAGTCTCACTCGGTCACCCAGGCTGGAGTGCAATGGCGGATCTCAGCTCACTGCAACCTCTGTCTCCTAGGTTCAAGTGATTCTCCTGCCTCAGCCTTTCAAATATTGGCATTACAGGTGCACGCCACCATGCCCAGCAAATTTTTTTTCTTTTTTTTTTTTTTGGTAGAGACGGGGTTTCACCATGTTGGCCAGGCTAGTCTTGAACTCCTGACCTCAGGTGATCCACCCATCTTGGCCTCCCAAAGTGCTGGGATTACAGGCATGAGCCACTGTGCCCGCCTGGTTCAAACCCTTTTCATGGCAGAAGAAGATGATCTTGAATCTACTGAAGCTTCAGCTTCTAGGCCTCTCACTCACACATCACACATTCCTTCCAGAGCCCCAGTTTTGTATTTTACTTTGTATTTTCTTCTTCTTTCTTTTTAGAGATAGGGTGTTATTATGTTGCCCAGGCTGGCCCTGAACTCTAGGGATCAAAAGACTCTCCTGCCTCAGCCTCCTGAGCAGCTGAGAATACAGGCAGCACCATTACATCTGACTTCTATTCTGATGTAGAAGGGTCTGAGAAAGACCCTCCACACCCCCCACTCCAACTCCTGCTGCTTCCTTCAGCTGTTTTAGGTTCAGATCTGCTAGTGTAACCAGCTGCCCAAATTTGCCTGGGACTGAGGGGTTTCCAGGGATGCAGGACTTTCAATGCTAAAACCAGCAAAGCCTAAGGTAACCTGGTATTTGGCGGTCACCCTAGATACAACCCTGTCCTCAAATCACCTAAGGACCTGGGAAAACAGCAGCTCTTTATGGTGGTTCTCACCATGGACCCTGATCTTGACCTTGCAGTATGGAAGGTCTTGGCTTGTCAAGGCTCAGTAGGACTCATCTGCCATGAGACATGGGACCTGACCCTCACTTACAGAGCCTGGGCAGCCTCAGGCACACCAGTCACACTGTCTTCCAAATGCCCGTCACCCCTGAAGGGTGGTGAGCTCCCTGTCTCCTGGGACCTCCTTGCCATGGTACCTGCAGTGCAGTACCACATAGTGTCATCTTAAAGTCAGCTTCTGACAGCTCTTCTTCTGGTGGATTTATGGCAGCTTCTCCAGCTATTGATAAGCGAGAATTGGCGTGTCAGCTGTTAGCCTGGGCATGCATGTGTTGTAAGTCTGCCAATATGCCAACTCAGGCTCACGTGCACATCCATGTCTTTGCCTTTATCTGATCTACCTGAGTGTGCCAACCCACAGTCCCTTGCCCATGTGCATAGACACAAATTCACACAGCTGCTCACAAACATACACAAGAGTTATAGTCCCATTTGTACACACATACACACATATCCAACAATGTGTGAATCCACTCACATCTTATCTCCACGCATAGACACACGTGCATACCTGCACTGACAGCAGTTGGGCCAGGTGACTTCCAGGCTCCATCTGGTACTGAGGATGTGGTGAGCAGCATGTGCCTGCGATTCAGGCTCATTTCCTGACAATATGAGGGGGGAGCCAGGTCGGGTAGACAGTCGCAATAGGTTTCTAGTGCCCTGCTTCTGCCCCAGCAGTCTGAGACAGTGAGGGTGAGACCATTTGACAGACTGACCTCTGTCCTGGTGTGTTGGCATCCTGAGCTGCTCTGTCCAAAGTTTCAACAAAATGATTGCTCACGATAGGAAAGTCCTGGCCCAAGGCAGAGTTTGGTACTGAGCTTGACAGAATAGGGTCAGGGGATCTGAATAGGCTTGGATGTATCAACTGTGTACTGGACATACCCTCTCTAGATACAATTCCGTCAGGTACTGTCCCAGTCCAGGTAAGGTCCTGAAGACTCTCCTCTGCAGGTCTGGGCCAGGATGTCCTCCCCTGGCTGGAAACTGGGAGTCCCGCCCCACTCAGTGAGCTCTGAGGTTAGTAGTTCAGCTGTGGGCTCAGTGTGCCTGGGGAGCCTGGATACCCATCTACTGTGACATGTGGCTTCCCCTGCCCCCTTGCTGTGCCCGGGCCAGGTGTAGAGTGGCTATCTCAGTTTCCTCTGACATGAGGATGGGGTCCCTTTCCTATCTGAGACCTTGCCTATCTCTTTAACTGAGGGACTCTGTGGTGCCACCTGTTTCCTTGTACCCATCTAATAGGTTAGTGGCTCCAGTAACCATTTTGCCCACTCATTCTGACTCCTGGCTTGTATGGGCATTCATACGGGTGGGCAGAGCCTCCTCTAACCCTGACTTTGCCTACAGTAGTCTCCTTTGCTTTCTCAGCCTGCCACATGGCTGAGACTGAGTAGAGGAACACATCAAAGGATCTCTTTCTTCCCAGAAGATTCTTTTTCCTAGCATACCTCTGCCTCCAAGCAGAACTGCTCCCTATTTGGAACCTCAACAGAGCCTTTAAAAGACTTTAGTAGGCCTGACTCGGTGGCTCATGCCTATAATCCCAACACTTTAGGAGGCCGAGGTGGGCAGATCACTTGAGCCCAGGAGTTTAAGACCAGCCTGGGAAACACCGTGAAAACCTGTCTCTACAAAAAAAAAAAAAAAAAAAAAAAAAAAAAAAAAAAAAATTAGCTGGGTGTGATGGCATACACCTGTAGTCCCAGCTACTTGGGAGGCTGAGGTGTAGTCCCAGCTACTTGGGAGGCTGAGGTGAGAGGATTGCTTGAATCTGAGAGGTTGAGGCTGCAGTGAGCCATGATTGCACCACTGCACTCCAGAGTGAGCGCAGTGAGACCTTGTCTAAAAAAAAAGTCTTTTGTGCAGTCTGCTTTTGTGTCTCCCCTAGAAGGCTGTGCACCAGGGAAGAGGCTGAGTTTCATTCATAGTTTGCTTCAGCATTAGCATAGGGTCTGGCACAAAATAGGTCCTCAATGGGTAATTATTGACTGGCTGAACGAATAGAGGAATATATATATATTTTTGTTTGTTTGTTTGTTTGTTTGTTTTGAGACGAAGTCTGGCTCTGCACCCAGGCAGGAGTGCAGTGGCATGATCTCTGCTCACTGCAACCTCCGCCTCCCAAGTTCAAGTGATTCTCCTGCCTCTGCCTCCTGAGTAACTGTGTGCCACCATGGCCGGCTAGTTTTTTTGTATTTTTAGTAGAGATTGGGTTTTGCCATGTTGGCCAGGCTGGTCTTGAACTCCTGACCTCAGGTGATCCGCCTGCCTCAGCCTCCCAAAGTGCTGGGATTAAACGGGTGAGCCACTGCGCCCGGCCAAATAGAGGAATATTGAATGAATGAATGAAGAGGCATCTGACAATGTCATAAGCCTTGGTTCCCGGTCATGGCCTTTGTCATGCTCCTTATCCATCCATCCATAAATTGGCAGAGTGGAGAAGCCAAGGGTATACACTGAAAATCCATGCTGAACCAGGCAGGAAATGGAAATGTGTGAAATGGCTGGGTGAAAGGCAATAGGGAGTGGTGGAGACTATGGCACATATATAAATGTTTACATGCACAGCATATTTAAACATTGAGTTGAAATTCTTGCATTTAATGTGGAAAGGGACTTCTCAGAGTGGACATCTTATAATTTGACACCCTCCCCCCATTCTGGTTGACACTTTGCATGTCCTGAGGGGCAGTGTAGTTTAACTGAGGTTAAAAAGCAGATGGGTGCCAAAGACCTCTTCCTGAGATGGAGCTGTTGATAACCTGAGTCTGCTTATTGCTTCTAGAGCTACCTACATGTTGCCAGGCTCCTAGTAAATGGGCAAGGTCCAGCCACCACTGGGGAGATCAGACTTGAGCCCTGGACACACCTATGCTCCCAAAGCAGGAAAAATGCTGCAGAGTCTGTAAGGGGAGTCACTGTGTGAGCATTAACCGGCCAGGGTATGGCCCCCGCAGGGCTCCAGAAGGTGGTTTACCACGGGCTATTTGCCCAGAGATGAGCTGGGAGGTGTGATAGGCAGTTTCAGCCTCATTTTATGGATGGGGAGAAGTTCTGAGAGGTTATCTGACCTCCCCAATGTCACAAAGTGGGTGTATGACAGAGCCATCATGTGAGCCCAAATCTGATTTTGAAGCTCATGCTCTATCAATTACAGCGGGGTCCCACCCTTTCAGGGAGTATCGACCCCTTTAGTTGCCACGGAGACTGTACACTTCCTCTATTGATGCTACTGTAACCTGCAAACTGGTCTAGATTCTTCAAGACTCAATTAGGGCAACATAAGAATTCCAGTTTTATTATTTTAAAGTCACTTCCAGATGTTTGGGTTTTCTCCCCAAACTGGAAAAGTGTTATTCACAAGAGTTTCCCTTTAGTCTCAACCTCCCTTTGAGAGCGAAATTCTTCCACTGCTGAAAAAGTTATTTATTTATTTTGAGACGGAGTCTTGCTCTGTCGCCCAGGCTGGAGTGCAATGGTGTGATCTCAGCTCACTGCAACCTCTGCCTCCCCGGTTCAAGTGATTGCTGAGAAAGTTTAAAAGTGCATGTTGCAAGTTTTGAAGGTGGTCAGTGAGAGTGGGAAGGAAAGTTTTTGGTATCTCTGAGGGAAGCAGCACCTGCTCCCAAGGAGCCACGGACCTCTAGCTTTGCGTGAGCGTCTCTGTCGGCCTGGGAACCTGCCACAGGCTTTCCCTCCCTCCTCAGAAGGACAGATAGGACAGGCTAGGGCGGAGCAAGTGCAGGGTCCTCTGCTCCTTTTATGTTCTCATCTTTGACCTAGGCTGTTTTGAGGGGCTGGTGTCCCTTGAGGGCCTCGTGTCCTCACAGCTGTGGCTCACAGCTGTGACCCTGCAATCCTGGCCCTCAGAGAAGGTGCTCCTTCTTTCCCACAGGCCAGGCTGTGTCTTCCTCTTATTTGTGTGTATTAAATATCTAGTCTTCCTCACTTACAGCCCTCACAGAGGCTGAGGCTTCCAGAACTCTTGCTCCCCTTCCTTTCCATGGTTCCCAGAAGCAAGTCAGCTTATCAGTGGGGCACACGGCCTTTGAGTCTTCCTTTTGGTTGACTCTCCAGCACGCATGTTTAATTTTTGTGTGTGTGGCTTTTTTCTTTACCTTTTTTGGGGCTTGGGGTGGAGAAGAGACAAGGGAGAGGAGAAGGACACAGAAATGGCCAGCTCTTGCATTGCTGCTAGGTGATTCACTTTGCCAAAGGAGTTCCTGGTGAGGGTCTGACACAGCACGGAGCCGCCACTGTGGACGTGTTAGCCCCGCAGCTAACACATCTCCAAAGCCTCTCCACTGCTGTTCTGAATGCCCCAACGCTGGTCCTTGGTGCCGCACTTGCCACCCCTGCCTCAGCTCCCTTCCTTCTGTCTCTTAATGGCCCTCTCTCATGGCATTCTCTCCTGCTTACTGAATCTCTGGTTCTTCATTGCTCTCAAGATAAACCCCAAACACTGAGGACTTTCCAGGCCCTTCCATAGGCCCCGGCTGAACCCTCTGCTTCCCTTTTGTCCTGATGCTGCTGTCCAGTTGCTGACTTCTCCTTCAACACTCAAGCTTCCTGCCTGGCCCTTGCTGCATCCTTACTTCACCCCAACACACACACACACACACACACACACACACACACACCACACACACATCCCTCACCACACACTCCAACACACACACACAATCACACAGACACCACACACACAAACCACACACCACACAAATGCATCACACACACAACCACATACCACATCACACATCACACCACACACTGCACACAACACACCACACACCACATTACACACATACACCACACACACCACACATCACACATGCCACACACACATCATACATACCACAAACAATATCCACAAACCACACATCCACCATATACCACACATACACCACACACACACCACACACACACCACACACACACAAACCACATGCCCCAACACACACATACATCACACACCACACACCCTACGCACACACACACACCACACACACAAACCACACACCATACAAGTGCATCAGTCACACCACACACCATACACATCACACACACCACACATACAACCACACACCACATATCACACACACCACACACAACACATACCACATTACACACATACACCACGCACACCACACATCACACATGCCACACACACACCATACATACCACAAACCACACATCCATCATCCATCACACATCAACACACATCACACACACTGTATAAACTACACACATGCTACAGACATACATATGGCACACACACCACAAAGTCCATACCCTCACACACACACCACACATCACACACACTTCACATATACACATGTACAAATCCTGTACCCTCACATACACATCGCACACACACACATTACACACCGTACACACACACCATTCACCACATACACCACACAACCCCCCCCCACCTCCCATGTCCTCCACACCCCTCTGCACACCACACACACACACACACACACATCTTGCGCCCCTTCTCTGGCTGGTGTCTTCTGCTGAGTTTGAGCAGTCTTTTCATTCCTTCCTCATCTTCCACTCTTTCTCCTGCAGTCCCAGCCCTCTGTTCTTACCTGGGTGCCCACAGCTTTGTGGAGAAATGATTGCCTCTCAGACATCAGGGGACCATATTTGTTCATCTCTGAGCCTCAGAACGCAGCTCAGGGCCTGACAATTACTACCCCGGGATAGATGAACATGGAGATTAAAGGACCTGCTCAGAGGGCAAATAGTCAGGTGTGAAGTGCAGCAAAGGGCCTGGCGCACAGAGGGGCTGGGTTCAGGGAAGTCCCCGCCTCACCTGCCCCACTCGGAAGGGGTATTTATGCCCGTGGTGAACAGAACACTGCAGAGCCTGGGAACGAGTGAGTGAGCGAGTGAGTGAGCCTGGGAGTGGAACATATGGAAGAGATGTGAAAAGTCTGGCCTGTGACAAGACAAAGACTCTGACTTGCCCTGGGCACCACTGTCCCCAGAGCCCTGGGCACCACTGTCCCCAGAGCCCTGGGCCAGGGAATCTCTGCCCATCAGCCCAGAGGGGGCCTGGCGTTCTCCTACGCAGCTGTGGAGGGTGCAGCGGTGGGGCTTCTCACCTTGCTGTGAGAATCGGATTAGAAGGGAGCTTTGTTGAGAGATAAGCTGCTCAGACCTGAGCCATCTGTGCCCTCTGAGCCTCAGCCCTGCAGCATTGTGTTCACTGTGGGCATAAACACCCTCCCCCAGGATGGGGAAGGAGAGGCAAGGATTTCCCTGAACCAAGTCCCTCTGTGTGCCAGGCCCTTTGTGGGCACTTCACACCTGGCTATTTGCCCTCTGAGTAGGTCCTGTAATCTCAGTTTTCTAGAAGAGACCCAACATGCCCAGCTCACACAGAACACCCTTAGCAGGGCAGGGCTTCGAGCCCTGTTGTGCCGGACCCAGGGCCTCTGTCCCTGCTCCTCACACAGTTACATAGTGTTGTGACAAAGAGTGGCCTGCAGGGAAGGCTTTAGGGACAGGTTTCTTCTAGCAGAAAGTTATGCCTCAGGCTCTATCACTGACCTTGTCAAACAAGGATGTGTCTGCATTGAGTTTATTTATTTATTTATTACTTGTTTGTTTGGATGCTCTTTCCAGCAGACTCATGTCAGGAGGCTAGGAAGGGATTCCTTGGGGACCACTGGATGCTGGTAGTTAAATGCCAGGAGGCTGAATGGACCTGAAGATGGAGGAGACTCTGCAGTCTTGGTCAGCCACCCTTGGGTGCTTGCCACCCTGCACTCTAGCAGGATTGATGGTCTCTGGATTTGTAGCTGTGACCGGTCATGGTGGAATGCTCGGTGGTTTGCACTGGAGAGGCCCACATGGTGGCGACTGAGGCCCTGTGGGGTGAGGTTGGCTCATGATAGCTCTGAAAGTTGATGGCACAATTGAGACAAGGACGTGGAGTTCTGGAACTTTCCCAGGGTCCTTGCAGCCCGAGATGAAGCCCTCCAACATTGCAGCTCACTGCTGTGAAGGCTGAAAGGGGAGACAGGAGGCTGCTGGGTACCTCAGGTGCCAGGCATGAGGTTCTCCGCTGTCTGGAGTCTTGCTTTGGGAGTGCTACACCTGTGGGAGTGCCCCAGGCACCACCCAAAGGCGGGGCTCTGGCTCAAGCTTGCATGGTTTACAGAGCCTCACATGATGTCCTGGGAGGAGCAATGAGTAGACAAGAGGGACAAGGACAGGAAGATGGCGAGGTCAGAGCCAGGTTGTGGGGAGAGAGAGGAAAACACAATTAAGTTGCATTTTCAAACACATTTAAAAAAAAATTTCAAAGCAAGAATTAGATCTTATGCTTTTCCCTGGAGGCCCAGAAGGGGCTTTTCGTGGCAAACAAGACCAGCCCAGATTATTTCAGTCCCATCAGAGGGAACCTAATTGATTGGTAGAAGAGGAAGAGAAGGTGGCTGATCCTAAGTGGAGCCCACCTAAGCTGCCTTAGGTCTGGGAGGCCTGTTTCTAATGACTCTGGTAGGAGGGTCTGCACATGGATGTGTGCCCTTGGGCCCTCTGGCTGTCTCCTTCCAGATGGCACATGCCAGGCAACGTGTCCCAAAACTACATTTGCATCTTTTGACAAACCAGTCCCATTTATGGGAGGAATCATCCACAAGAAAGAAAAAGCTGCATGCATTAAACTATTTTTATAGTTTTTTTTTTTTTTTTTCAAGAAAGATGGGAGTCTCCTTATGTCGCCTAGGCTAGTCACGAACTCCTGGCCTCAAGCTATCCTCCTGCCTCAGCCTCCCAAAGTACTGGGATTACAGGCATGAGCCACCATGCCTGGCCCATAGTTTTGTTTTTAATTGCAGAAAAAAAAGTGTCTGGAAACAATCTGAATATCCTATAATAGAGAAATTGTTAATTAGTAATGATAATTTGGCCAGGTGTAGTGGCTCACACCTGTAATCCTAGCGGTTTGGGAGGCTAAAACTGGTGGATCACTTAAGCCCAGGGGTTCAAGAACAGCCTGCGCAACATGATGAAATGCCGTCTCTACCAAAAATACAAAAATTTGCCAGGCATGGTGGCGCACGCCTGTGGTCCTAGCTACTCAGGAGGCTGAGGTGGGAGGATCACCTGAGCCTGGGAGGTGAGGCTGTGGTGAGCCATAATTGAGCCACCGCACTCCAGCCTGGGTGACAAAGTGAAACCTTGTCTCAAAAAAAAAATAAATAATAAACAATAAAATAAAAAATTAATGATAATTCATGATGATGGAAATGTTTCATGGGGACAAAACCCTGTGGTTATGAACACTGCACAGCAACAAGAAGAAAAATGATTCCGACTTAAGTTTAAAAATTAAAAAATGAGATATAATTAATTAAAAATAAAACCAGGTAAACACGTTTGTACGAAAAACAAAGGACACACAAATGAATGAGAAGGGTTACTAAGTTATGGTCATGAGATTATTCTTTCTCCTTCTGTTTTCAGATTATTACTATATGAAATGTGGTGTGGTAATTAAGATCATGAAATCTGGAGTGAGCCAGATTATTTAAATTCAAAGCCTGAATCTATCACTTACTTAGTAGCTGTGGGACCTTCAACAAGTTACTTAACCTTTCTGTGCTTGGTGCCTCATTTGTAGAAGTGAGAATAGTAATAGTATCTAACTTTTAGGATTATTGTAAGGATCAAATGAGTTAGCAGATGTAAGTGCCACCCACACCTAGTAATTGCTATATAAGCACTAGCTATACAAAGAAATAAATTTAATTATAATTCATCCATCCACTCATGTCTTAACCACAAATAAGTGATAATATTGGTGTGTTTTTCTGTTTTTTTTTTTCTATTGGTAAGTGCTTTGATCTTCCCATAGTGATAATCCTAGTAATATATAGCGTAACTTACTCTTTTCCATTCCATAACTTACCATTTCATGAGCATTTTCCACCAGCATTTCTGGTGGAGACACATGATTTCCTGACCCCTGATCCTCCTCCACCTCCTTTCCTCACCTCAGATCCCAAGACTATCTTCTCTGGCTCCTACAATAAATTTTGTGGTTGACTGGTTGCAAATATGGTTGCAATTCTCCCTCTCTCCTTTGCAGTTTCTCCCATCATGATAGGGAGTCTATTTGCCTGCTCCTAAAATCTGGACTGGACTTGCAACTTGTTTTGTCCAGAATGAATGTGGTAGAGATGAAGGAGGGAAGCTCAGAGCCTGTACCTCAAGAGGCCTTACGTGTTTCCATTTACATAAGTGGAACTCTGCAGACACCACGTGAACAGTCTGGGCTCGCCTGCGAAGAGCATGAAAGACCACATGGAGGAGAGGCTAGTTGTTCCAACCGAGACCATTCTAGACTCACAGACATCAAAAATATGAGAGACCCCAGCCAAGATCAGCAGAACTGCCTATCCAAATCTTAGAAGAATGAGTCCAGCCAAGACTAGAAGAAATATCCAGCTGACCTGTAGACTCATTGAAAAGAATAAACACTGCTTTGGGTCACTAAAATTGGGAGTGGGTTGTTCTGCAGCTATGGCTAACAGATATAATCACAAGGAGCAAGACCATGGGTCTGAGGCCCCTTTCACTGAGCCACTGGGAAGGATGGGCTGCCAGCCCTCTTCACCTCCTCCTTTCCAGGGTCTATTTTCTGGGCCCTCATGTCCATCCTGGTATCATCGTTGCTGAAAACCTCATATCCTCAACGGGTAACATTTGTTCATGCAGTCCGAGCTCCTTCCTGAAGGCAGAGACAACCCTATGGCGAGGGAGGAATCTCTCTGTGCCCCTTCCAGCCTGAGTCTCCCACTATGGGCTCAGCCATTTTGCTGGGTTTCAAAAACAGTGAGGGGGCAAGGAGCTCTCAGGACCTGGGCAGCCTCTCAGGCTCCAGACTTCCCACAGGACCTCCCCAGTCTTCCCAAATAGCTTCACCGTGGCCCCAGGATGCGTAGAAAGAAGGTGGCCTGAATGAAGCTTCAGGACCACAGTACTTCCTGGCTGGTGGGGCCTTCACAGCCATCAGTCTGACCCCAGCTTAAGCCTGGGCAGCCCCTGGGCTTGGGGATAGTGCTTGACACCCGTAAAGAGCCAATAGAGTCAGCACATTGAAACTTCCTTTAAAAGAACTGGGCCAGATGCAGTGGCTCACGCCTGTAATCCCAGCGCTTTAGCACTTTGGGAGGCCAAGGCAGGAGGGTTGCTTGAGGCCAGGAGTTCAAGACCAGCCTGGGCATCATAGTAAGACGCTGTCTTTGCAAAAATAGAAAAGTTAGCTGAGTGTGATGGCACGCATCTGTAGTCCCAGCTACTGGGGAGGCTGAAGCGGATCACTTGAGCCCAGGAGTTTGAGGCTGCAGTGAGCTATGATTGTGCCACTGCACTCCAGCCTGGGTGACTGAGCAAGATCCTGTTTCTTAAAAAACAACAACAAAAAGACTTGCTGCTATACAGATTGCTATAAATTTTCTAAATACTCTTTTAGGCTGGGCATGGTGGCTCACGCCTGTAATCCCAGCACTTTGGGAGGCTGAGGTGGGTGGATCACGAGGTCAATAGATAGAGACCAGTCAGGTCAACATGGTGAAACCCTGCCTCTACTTAAAAAAAAAAAAAAAAATTTAATTTTTTAAAAAAGCCCTTCTCCCTCTCCCTCTCCCTCTCCCTCTCCCTCCTCTTTGCACGGTCTCCCTCTGATGCTGAGCCCAGCCCTCTCCCTCTCCCTCCTCTTTGCACGGTCTCCCTCTGATGCTGAGCCCAGGCCTCTCCCTCTCCCTCCTCTTTGCACGGTCTCCCTCTGATGCTGAGCCAAGGCTGGACTGTACTGCCGCCGTCTTGGCTCACTGCAACCTCCCTGCCTGATTCTCCTGCCTCAGCCTGCCAAGTGCCTGGGATTGCAGGCGCGTGCTGCCACACCTGACTGGTTTTCGTATTTTTTGGTGGAGACGGGGTTTCGCCATGTTGGCCGGGCTTGTCTCCAACTCCTGACCACGAGTGATCTGCCAGCCTCGGCCTCCCGAGGTGCCGGGATTGCAGACGGAGTCTCGTTCACTCAGTGCTCAATGTTGCCCAGGCTGGAGTGCAGTGGCATGATCTCAGCTCGCTACAACCTCCACCTCCCAGCCGCCTGCCTTGGCCTCCCAAAGTGCTGAGATTGCAGCCTCTGCCCGGCCGCCACCCCGTCTAGGAAGTGAGGAACGTCTCTGCCTGGCCACCCATCGTCTGGGATGTGAGGAGCCCCTCTGCCCGGCTGCCCAGTCTGGGAAGTGAGGAGTGCCTCTTCCCGGCCGTCATCCCGTCTAGGAAGTGAGGAGCGTCTCTGCCCAGCCACCCATCATCTGGGATGTGGGGAGCGCCTCTGCCCCACCGCCCCATCTGAGTTGTGAAGAGCGCCTCTGCCCGGCCGCGACCCCGTCTGGGAACTGAGGAGCCCCTCTGCCCGGCCGCCACCCCGTCTGGGAGGTGTACCCAACAGCTCATTGAGAACAGGCCATGATGACAATGGCGGTTTTGTCTAATAGGAAAGGGGGAAATGTGGGGAAAAGAAAGAGAGATCAGATTGTTATTGTGTCTGTGTAGAAAGAAGTAGACATAGGAGACTCCATTTTGTTCTGTACTAGGAAAAATTCTTCTGCCTTGGGATGCTGTTAATCTATAACCTTACCCCCAACCCTGTGCTCTCTGAAACATGTGCTGTGTCCACTAAGGGTTAAATGGATTAAGGGCGGTGCAAGATGTGCTTTGTTAAACAGATGCTTGAAGGCAGCATACTCGTTAAGAGTCATCACCACTCCCTAATCTCAAGTACCCAGGGACACAAACACTGCGGAAGGTGGCAAGGCCCTCTGCCTAGGAAAACCAGAGACCTTTGTTCACATGTTTATCTGCTGACCTTCCCTCCACTATTGTCCTATGACCCTGCCAAATCCCCCTCTCCAAGAAACACCCAAGAATGATCAATAAATACTAAAAAAAAAAAAAAAGCCTTTTTAAAGCAAATTGGTAAATGTAATAAATTCAGCAAATCAGCCATTTAGCATGTTGATTTTTGAAGATGTTTTTGTCCCATTGACCCAGAGTCCTGGGCCTTCCACATATTGTCATCCCCATGGGCCTACCACAGTGCTGAGATATAAAGCAGTACTCAAGAAAGACACCATAGAACGAGGAGTAGTCAGTATTCAGCAAGTGTGTGTCATAGCTGGTGTTGTTGGCTCAGGAACACCCTCTAGGCAACTCTGAGTTAATTTGCATTTCTACAGACAGATGCACGGGCTTTGTCATACATCAGTGAACTGGAGCACACGAGGCCAGATTTCTGGAGCCTGGCACACTCAGCAATCCTGGCGTTGCTTACACAACACCCTGGGAACACTGATTCATCTCCCTCCTTGCTGAATCCCAGCATCAGTCCATAAGACAGAAGGTGGAACCACCAAGCCTGGACAAGAACGTGCAGGCTTTGGTTGTCGGTGTTGGAGTTGCTCATCTCCTGTGCCAGCAGCCCTGGCAGGGCTGGGTCTGTCTCCATAGCAACAGCAGGACATGTTTACGGGGCACCATGTGGCAGGCTTGATGCCAAGTCCTGTATAGACATGAACCCATCGACGGCTCATCATGGTCCAGTGAGGCAGATTCTATTATAACTCCCTCTTCACAGAGGGGGAGACTGAGGCTTAGCAGTGCTGGGTGACTTGCTCCAAGGCACAGCCAGTGGGTGGTGGAGCTGAGATCCCAGCCCAGATGGCTATTTCCTTCTGGGAAGTCAGCCGTCTGGCTTGCACGCGCATGTCTTCATACACCGGCTACAGAACACTTTCTGTCCACAGGGGAAGCAGTTTGTTGTAGTGGAAAGAGGTGGAAAGATCCTAGTTTCTGACTCTGCCTCAGTTTCTTTCTCAGTCTCAGTTTCCCAATCTATATAATGGTGACGAGACCTCCCCACGGTGGTCTCAAGGATTTAAATGAGATCACATGGCAAGGACCCAATACATATGTTTGTTTTGCTCTTCTTGTTCTAAGTTGTTCATAAATTTCAACAATGGAATTTTAAAAATATACACACAGAAAGAAATCCAGTCTCAGCACAGAAGCCACACACCTAGATTTATTCTCCAGAAGTAACAAAACTGAAAAAACGGATGCACGTGTACTTGCACGGGAGTTAACATGGCCACGTCTCCTATGCACTGTGTGTGCTTGGGTGTATATCTGTCCATCTGTGTGTGTAGTGTGTGTGTGCTGTGTGTAGCATAGGAGTGTAGTGTGTGTAGTTGTGTAGTGTGTGTGTGTAATTGCTTGTCCATGTGTAGTGTCTGTGAGTGTATTGTGGTGTGTGTCTGTGTGTGCATGTATTTGTGTGTGTGTCTGTGTGTATAGTTGTGTAGTGTTGTGTATTTGTGTGTATGTATTTATGTGTGTTTGTGTGTATAGTTGTGTGGTATGTGTTTGTGTGTAGATGTACTTGTGTATGTGTCTGTGTCTGGTATACGTGTGTGTGCTGTGTGCATGTGTCTATGTGTGTATGATTGTGTGTAGTGTGTATGTGCATGTAGTGTGTTTGTGTGTATAGTGTGTGTCTGTTTGTGTAGTTGTGTAGTGTGTATGTGTCCGTGTGTTTGTATGTATAGTGCGTGGTGTGTGTGTGTAGAGTGCATGTAGTATGTGTCTGTGTGTGTAGTTGTGTGGTGTGTGTTTGTGCTGTGTATATGTGTCTAGGTGTGTATCACTATACCGTGTGTTGTGTGTATATGCTGTGTTTCTGTGTGTAGTTGTGTAGCGTGTATGTGTCTGTGTGTCTGTAGTGTGTGGTGTGAGTCTGTGTGCGCATGTATTTGTGTGTGTCTGTGTGTGTGGTTGTGTGGTGTGTATCTACTTATGTGTGTAGGTATTTGTGTTTATGTGTTTTGGTTTGTTGTGTGTGTGTCTGTGGTGGGGGCTCACACACCCCCTCAACTTCCTGCCTCTGAGCAGTTGGTGCAGGAGAGGGGAAGTGGAGGGGGAGGGTGTGAGCTCTTGGGGCTCGCCTCCACCTCTCTCTGGAAGGTTTTCACCTTCTTTCACAGAACCAGGGGCCTGGGGGAGCAGAGCCACAGCCTGCGCTCACCCTGCATCCTGCCTGGGCTGGCACCTCACACTGGTTCAGCAAGAGGTGTGTGAGAGCTGGTTATTTTTATCCTGGCCGGCTGGGTGTGATGCCAGTTTGGAAGAAAGGGCTGTCAGCATCTCCGGGAGAAGGTCTGCGGCTGGAGTCATGCTGTCTTGCTTCCTCCCTCTATCCCTCTCCTGCATCACAGCTGAGCATCCCCTTGGTAGCTGGGAAAGGCATGGAGGCTCCGGCGCTGGTCATGGACCCCATGGGCCATGGCCGCAGAGGAGCAAGTGGGGCCGGGACCTCCTCAGCCTCTTGAGAGTGGGCACTGGGGCTGCAGAGTTCAGGCAGGAGCCCCAGGTTGGTGTCAGGCTGTCTGACTCAGGGTCCACAGTCTCCCCTTGGGGATCTGCCTGCCCTACCCAAGCTCCAGCAGCCTGACCCTTCCACCTGGGCTGGGCAACTCCAGTGAATATCTGCTCTGGGCCTGCAGCCCCTGTGCAGGGAACTGGGTGCCCGCAGCCCTCCTGAGCTTGGGCCTGTCCGCCACAGGCCTCCCAGTGTCCCCAGGCCTCAGGGAGAGGGCAGCCTTGCTCTTCTGGGCCTCGTTCTGGTCATGCAGCCTGGATGCTGCCTGCTGGCATCTCTGGGGCTGCCTTATCTCCTGCCAAGCTATGGCTCTCTGGACCCTCAGGCCCACTCCCCTGCTGGTGACCTGCATGCTGATCTGTGCCCCAGGTCCACAGGGTTCACAGGCAGCTTTGGTCCTTAGCTTCTGGGAGTACCTCTCAAGCCCTGCTACCATCTGTCTTCCATACCCCACTCTTGCCCTTCACCCTTGCTGCCTCCTCTGCCTGCATCCCCCACCTCCACAGTCCTCAGCCAGGCTCCTGGCTCATAAATGAGCCAGGTCTCATAAATGTCACCTCCTCAGACACCTCCCACCTAAAGTAAGTGTGTTTCCACACAACATCTTCTAATTGCATCCTGCTTTTTTTCCATGGCAGAATGTATTCAGTTTAAAATGATTAATTTGTTGACTTTTGGGGGGGAGTCAACAAATTAATCAACAAAACAAAGATGTCCTCCCAGCCAGAGCCTGATGCCAGCCATGGGTGGGGGCTGATCAGTGTGTGTGGCTGGTCCCATGGCCACTGTAGAACTTCTGCCCCACAGTCTGGACGAGGTGGGGGTACTTACCTTTCAGGTTTGTTGAGTTGGGGCTAGGGACTCGGTGGCAGCAGAGCCTGGTTCTCCTGCCTGACCAGGCCTTGGCAGGACGCCTCTTCCCTGAGGGTGGACACAAAGGAAGAGAGACTGTCTTTAGTGGGCTTGTCTGTGAGTGAGCTTCCCCTTCCAAGGCACAGGGCTCAGGAATATTTATCCAGAGAAACTCAGGATGAGCCAGGCTACGAGAGGTCCTAGGGAAAGAGTGGGCCTTGTTGTGATTTACTTTTCAGAAATAACAATGTTGGGAGACACATGGCCCCAAAACACATCCTTTTCAGATTCCTGTCCAATAAGTAGTTTCTTTGACATAATAATTCTCCCCTTGGCAATCTAGCCTAAGAAAATAAGCCTGAGCTGGGTGTGGTGGCTCATGCCTGTAATCCTAGCTCTTTGGGAGGCTGAGGTGGGCGGATCACTTGAGGTCGAGTGTTCGAGACCAGCCTGACCAACATGGAGAAACCCCATCTCTACTAAAAATACAAAATCAGCCTGGCATGTTGGTGCATGCCTGTAATCCCAGCTACTCAGGAGGTTGAGGCAGGAGAATCACTTGAACCCGGGAGGCGGAGGTTGTGGTGAGCCAAGAGCATGCCATTACACTCCAGCCTGGACAACAAGAGCAAAAACTTCGTCTCAAAAAAATAAAAAAAAGAAAAAAAGAAAAAAAGCCTGAATAAAGGACATACTTTATGTACATATATACCTTTTACCACATAATTAAAATGTGCAAAGTAGGCCAGGTGTGGTGGCTCATGCCTGTGATCCTAGCACTCTGGGAGGCCAAGGTGGGAGGATGGCTTGAGTCCAGAAGTTCAAGACCAGCCTGGGCAACTTAGAGAGACCTCGTCTCTGCAAAAAATTTTAAAAATTAGCAGGGCATTGTGGTGCGCACCTGTTTTCCCAGCTACTGGAAAACCTGAGGTGCGAGTATTGCTTGAGCCCTGGAAGTCAAGCCTGCACTGAGCCGTGGTCATGCCACTGCACTCCGACCTGGGCAAGAGAGCAAGATCTTGCTTCAAAAAAGGAAAAGCACACAATTGTGAACTATCTAAATGTCTAAGCATGTAAATTCATCATAGTACGTTCACTTGTAGCAAGTTATACCTGAAAATATTAGTTGATTAATGCTACTTCAAGAGTTTGCTACAGATAGTCCTAAATGGATAGGAAACTTTATGGGGGAAGGTATCTATCCTCATTTAATTGTCACTAGGGTATCACTGGCAACCTCCAACATGTCCAAAAATAGAGGTCTGATAAATTGCATGTCACGGGCTGTGTTTATGAGGAATTCTAATCACTGTTTTCCTTATTATATATGTGGCACATTTTCATCGCAGAAACTTTGTAAAACAAACACTTGTTATAATCCCACTACTCAGAGATGGCTGCTGCTGACACTGGGTTGTAAATGCTTCCAGAATATCTTCAATCATAAGCATTTTGGGTGATTATAACAATATATATAGTGATAAATAAAAAAGATATAACCTTGAACATATAGGTACATCAATTAATTTTTAAAAATTCTACATGCAAGGAAATAAACAAAATGTTGAACATGGCTACTCTTGAATCATGGAATTGAGTGTTTTTCTTCTCTTTATATATTTCTATAGCTCCAGCTCCCCCCACCCAAAAGTTTGAGTAACCATAACCACTAAAACAAAAAATAAATGTAGGCAGTTTCTAGAGGGTTAGACAAGAGAAAAATGGATTGAAACACTCAGCTATCTGAATCAAGAAAGGCAGCCAGGCATGGTGGCTCACGCCTGTAATCCCAGCACTTTGGGAGGCCGAGGTGGGAGGATTACGAGGTTAGGAGTTCAAGACCAGCCTGGCCAAGATGGTGAAACCTGTCTGTACTAAAAATACAAAAATTAGCTGGGCTTGGTGGTGGGCACCTGTAATCTCAGCTACTTGGGAGGCTGAGGCAGAGAATTGCTTGAACCCAGGAGGCGGAGATTGCAGTGAGCTGAGATAGCGCCACTGCACTCCAGCCTGGGTGACAGAGCAAGACTCCATCTCAAAAAAAAAAAAAAAAAGAAAAAAGAAAAAAGGGCAAGAGAGCTAAATATTCATATCTATAGAGGTAAAAAGATGGTGTCCCCTTCTAAACATGCATAAACATACCCCACCTCCCTACCACACACACCTTCATTTCAGCTGCTCATGGATATTTTCTGGGCATGAGGTTTTGGGATGTTCAGACTTAGATGGTCTACTAATTAATGTATTCATTTGCCCAACACTAATTTACTCTGTTCCAAGCATGACACAAGTACAAGAGAATGGCTCCAGAAATTCTAGATAGGTAGGACTTAAGCACAGTAATCTAGCTGAGAGGTTGTATGTGTGTTTGCATGGCGAACACACCACTTTACTTAGGCTGGGTATGTATTTGGGGGTGCAGGGGCTGTGAATGGAACCCCCAAGCCACCTGCAGGCAGTCCTGAGCCCCAAACCTATAGGTTCAGGAGAAAGAGCCCATCTTTCCGGGGCTCAGGACTGCCTGCCAAGGCCTGCCCGCCAAGGCCTGCCCTCCAACAAATCCTGATCAGAGTCTTCCCAGATGCTGAAATCCTGCTCAGGGATCTGCACCCTGGGGGCTGCCCTACCTTCTGTGGAGAAGATGGAGAAGCAGAGAAGCAGGATACAGAGCAGGCTGGAAAGGACTAGAAGCCTCATGGTGAGAAGGCAGATTTTCACGTCCTGGGAAGGGAGCTGTGCTGCAGAAGTCCTCCCTTGGGGCCACCTTGGACATTTATAGAGTCATAGAGAGGTGTTTCCCAATGGGCAGAGCCCTAGTAGCCTTGCAATTCTCCTAAAGGGTAAAGTCAGCCCCTCCCAAGAGGAAAACCAGCCTTTCAAGATGCATTTAGTAACCTGTAACACAGAAAGCTGTAAATGCCCAGCCCAGAGAGGTTTCAGAACTGGCTTCAGTGGTGAGAGCAGGAACCAACTGCCCAGGAAGAGCCACTGTCTAGAGTTGAACGTTAACTTTTAGTGTCAGTAATAATCCTATCAAATGCAGCTCTTCCTGCTCATTCCTCAGCTGTGTCTGGAAAAAGGATCATAAAACCCTTGCAGGTTCTGATCCAAGGATGAGTCTTGAGTAACCAATGAGATGTAGAGAGCACAGGTCCTGGAGTCAGATGACCTGGGTTTGAGTCCTGGTTCTGCCACTTAGCAGTGTGACATCAAACTTGTCCTTGAATGTCTTTGAGTCGGCTTCCCATCTGTGAAATGGGCACAGGACTATCTCTCTCACAAGCCTGTATTGAGGCATGTATGAGAAGCCATCTGCACCAAGGTGCTCACACAGCTCTTAAAGGAGGTGGGGCCACAGGTGGACTTTGATGTTTAAGACAGTGATGAAATGAGAAGACACTTCAAGTACAGGGTCACCCTGAACAAGGCCTGGAAGAGAGGAGCCTCTGCCCAGGGCAGGCATGGGGGAAAGTCTGACCACAGGTGCAGGAGGCTCAGATGCCACCCATTCACTGGACACGTGACCTGGGCTGAGCCATGCGCTTGGCTCCAGGGACACAGAAGACACTGTGCCTCGCCTCAAGGAGCTCCTGTTGGTGGAGGAAGCTGTGCAGACAAGTGACTGTCTCACAGCATTGTAAGTGCTGTCTATACTGAAGGAAGGGGACGTAGGTTGCTCAGTCAGAAGGTGGGGGAGGGAGGGGACACTCTGCAGAGATGGAATAAGATTGGGTCGGAGATGGCCTGGCATGGTAGGCCAGGTCATGGTGGGCTTCCTGGACCAGCAGAGGAATCAGACTGGCAAAAGGGAGGCCGGGGGATCCTTCAGCCGGGTAGAGACTGATGACAGGAATGCTTTGGGCTCCTTTTCCATCAGAGTGGGTCTGAGTTCCCTTTAATAATGGTGCATGGGTGCCTGAACACTTGCTAGGCTCTGGCCTCAGATGGTGTCAGAGGGTTCAGAGCCCCTGGGCCTATGAGAGGTGGTGGGTAGGAGGAATATTTTTCGGAAGAAATTAGGATGTTTCCCATGCACCCTGATGAGCCTCTGCCTGGGCTGCTCTCAAACCTCCACTCCCAAACTGAGGGAAGAGAGATACCCTCTCATATTGTTTTATATTGTTTTATACTCAGTACCTCTTTTAAGAAAAAACAAGGAAGTAAAACCAAAGACAGGCAGCCCGGCGCCAGGCCTGAAACCAGGCCTGGGCCTGCCTGGACTAAACCCAGTAGTTAAAAATCAACTCATAACTTAAAAACCAATGTTATTCATAGATTCCAGACATTGTATAGAAGAACATTGTGAAACTCCCTGCCCTGTTCTGTTTCTCTCTGACCACCGGTGCATGCAGCCCCTGTCACGTACCGCCTGCTTGCTCAAATCAATCACGACCCTTTCATGTGAAATCTTTAGTGTTGTGAGCCCTTAAAAGGAACAGAAATTGTGTATTCAGGGAGCTCAGATTTGAAGGCAGTAGCTTGCCGATGCTCCCAGCTGAATAAAGCCCTGCCTTCTACAACTCAGTGTCTGAGAGGTTTTGTCTGCGGCTCACCCTGCTACATTTCTTGGTTCCCTGACTGGGAAACGAGGTGACTGACGGATGGCCGAGGCAGCCCCTTAGGCGGCTTAGGCCTGCCCTGTGGAGCATCCGTGAGGGGAACTCCGGCCAGCCTGAGTGACGTGATCCAAAGAGCGCTCCCGGGTAGGCAATTGCCCCAATGGAACGCCTTGCCAGAGCAGCGTGTAGCAGGCCCCCACGGAAGATTAACACAGTGGCTGAACACCAGGAAGGAACTGGCACTTGGAGTCCGGACATCTACAACTTGGTAAGACTAGTCTTTGGAACTTGCCCCACTCCATCTGAGTGGAAGCGTGGCCTGATCACCCACAGTGTGCCTGTATTGGCATTTTGTTCTGGTTTTGACTTGGCTTGAGTTGGTAAGACTAGTCTTTGGAACTTGCCCTACTCCATCTGGGTGGAAACATGGCCTGATCACCCACGGCATGCCTGCATTGACACTTTTGTTCTGGTTTTGACTTGACTTAGATTGTGTGATACTTTGGTTTTAGTTTTGACCTGGCTTGGATTTCTGGATACTCTGATTTTGGTTTGGTGTAAACTGCAAAAGTGTGTGTGTGCCCTTTTTACCTGTTTTTTGTTTTGTGGTGTGTGTGTGGTGTGAACATGGTGTTTTGTCTTGAAGAAGCATGGGTCAGGCAAAAATAAGCCCACCCCACTAGGAACTATGTTAAAAAAAATAAAAATTTCAAGAAAGAATTTAAGGGAGATTACGATGTTACTGTGACACCAGGAAAACTTAGAACTTTGTGTGAAATAGACTGGCCAGCATTAGAGTGGGTTGGTCATCAGAAAGAAGCCTGGACAGGTCCCTTGTTTCAACGGTATGACACAGGGCAACCTGTAAGCCAAGGCACCCAGACCAGTTTCCATACATAGACAGTTACAGCTGGTTTTAGACCCCCTTCCCCTCCACAGTAGTTAAAAGAACAGCAGCATAAGCAGTTGGGAGAGGCAAGGAAAGACCAGCAGAGAAAAAAAAAAAAGAGGCCATCTATACCAATTCTAAGTTAATTTAGACTAAACAAGGTCTTATTAATAGCAAAGGATAATTGAAATCCCAAACTTACAAGGTTTTCAACAAAAGTGAAGTTTGCTAAAAGTTAACAGCATAACATATATTGTGGTAACTTCTAATCTTGTGGCCTTAGAGAGTCTAGTCCAAAGACATAAAGAAAGTTCGCTTTAAAAAAAGGAATGGTTATCTTCAAAAAAAAAAGCGGGGGGGAGGCAGAATTTATGTAAAAAGAGTGTTATATGGTAAATTCTTGTCCTGAAATAAATTAACTGGTTGTTTAAAGAAAAAAAATGTTTGTAATAAGTCAGAAAGTTGAGGCATGTTGAAGAATTGTCGGCGAAAGTTGTGAAAGAAAAAATGTTATAAAAAAATTTATGCAAAAAAGCCTCCTGAGTACTACTATTGAAGAAACAGTTTATGTGCAAGGTGTATAAAAATAGTAAAATATACCTTTGGTAAAAAGATTATAAGGAGGCATAAGAATGTGGATTTTTACCAACATTAAAAGGTTAAAAAATTATTGTTTTGAAAGTTTAAGCAAGTTTTAAAACTTTAATTGTAAAGAAAATTCTGTGTATAAACATATTAGCTAAAGTTAAAAAGGTATCATCCAGCTTTTCTGTGAACTGGACATTAAAGTAAAAATGCAACAGGTTTTTCTTAAAGCATCAACCTGCTCTTTAACAAAAATTATAAAAGGTTAAAAAGAGTCTATAAAATCTCACCTTATGGTCAAACATGAAAAATTGGATAAATATATCTACAAGGTTTTATTAAAATTAAGTTTAACATTAATAACACACTAATATAAAGGTAAAATTTAGCTTATCTGGTATAAAAATCATACAAGAAGCATTATTAAATATAAAATGGTGTTTAACTTTCTTTGGTCTAAAAACTAATAAAAATAGGTACTAAAGGAAACATTCCTTTTACTAGAGGATCATAGAAGTTAAAGACTTAAAACAAACTTTGGAAATTAAGACAGCATACCAAGATGCAAATGCCTGGTTGAAATGGATCAAATATTCCATCTGCACATTAAACAAAAGCAATTGTTATGCTTGTGCACATGGCAGGCCAGAGGCCCTGATTGTCCCCCTTCCACTAAGGTGGTCCTCCAGTCGACCAGGCGTGGGCTGCATGGTAGCTGTTTTCCAGGATTCTACAGCCTGGAGTAATAAGTCATGCCAAGCTCTCTCTGCTATATCCTGAAGTCCCTGAGGGTCAGCCCCCGAAGGCCATCCAGCTTCTGTCTCCCAACGCTAAGTTCACTTCTTGTCTCTCGTGGCAGGGAGGAGACTTAGCATTCCTTGGAGACCTGAAGGGATGCAGTGAGCTTAAGAATTTTCAAGAGCTTATCAATCAGTCAGCCCTTGTTCATCCCCGAGTGGATGTGTGGTGGTATTGTGGTGGACCTTTACTGGGCACTCTGCTGAATAACTAGAGTGGCACTTGTGCTTTAGTCCATTTGGCTATCCCTTTTACCCTGGCACTTCATCAACCAGAGGAAGAAAAAAATAAAATAAAATAAAAATCATAAAGTGAGAGAAGCCCCTTATAGGTCTTTCAACTCTCACATCTATTTAGATGCAATTGAAGCCCCGCAAGGAATACCAGATCAATTTAAAGCTTGAAATCAAATAGTTACAAGATTTAAATCAATATCTTGGTAGATGACAGTCAATAAAAATGCAGATTAGATAAACTACATCTATTACAACCAACAGCAATGAGCTTTTCATGAATTTAAAAGAAAAAATTGTGTTGGCCCCAGCCCTGAGGCTACCTGACCTGATGAAACTCTTTACACTCTATGTGTCAGAAAGAGAAAAAATGATAGTTGGAGTTTTAACCCAGACTGTAGGGCCCTGGCCAAGGCCAGTGGCCTATCTCTCAAAACAACTGATGGGGTTTCCAAAGGCTGGCCCCCATGTGCAAGGGCCCTGGCAGCAATGGCCCTGTTAGTACAAGAAGCAAATAAGCTAACTCTTAGGCAAAACCTAAAGTCCTCGTATGCTGTGGTGATTTTAATAAATACCAAAGGACACCATTAGCTAATGAATGCTAGACTAACTAGATACCAAAGCTTGCTCTGTGAAAATCCCCGCATAACCATTGAAGTTTGCAACACCCTAAACTCCGCCACCTTGCTCCCGGTATCAGAGAGCCCAGTTAAACATAACTGTGTAGAAGTATTGGACTCAGTTTATTCTCGTAGGCCCAACCACCGAGACCACCCTTAAACATCAGTAGACTGGGAGCTGTACGTGGATGGGAGCAGCTTTGCCAACCCTTGCAAAGTGACTCTGAAGAAGACGACAAGCCTTGTTCCGGTCACACCCGGAAGCTGACTGGTTCACGCATGGCCGAAGCATGAGGAAACTCATCGCGGGAATAATTTTCCTTAAAATTTGGACTTGTACAGTAAGGACTTCAACTGACCTTATGCTAAGCTGCCTGATCAGTGGACAGGTAGCTGTGTAATTGGACAGGTAGCTGTGTAATTGGCACCATTAAGCCATCTTTCTTCTTACTGCCAATAAAAACAGGTGAACTTCTAGGCTTCCTAGTCTATGCTTCCCGTGAAAAATGAAGCATAGCCATAGGTGATTAGAAAATAATGAATGGCCCCCTGAAAGAATCATACAATACTATAGACCCACCACTTAGGCACAAGATGGCTCATGAGGATATCGAACCCCCATCTACATGCTCAACCGAATCATACAGTTACAAGCGGTTTTAGAAATTATTACTAATAAAACCGGTCAAGCCTTGACTGTTCTTGCCCGGCAAGAGACTCTGATGAGAAATTTTATCTATCAAAATATACTAGCTCTTGACTACTTGCTAGCAGCTGAAGGAGAAGTTTGTAAAAAATTTAACCTTACTAATTGTTGTCTACACATAAATGATTAAGGGCAAGTAGTTAAAAATATAGTTAAAGATATAACAAAACTGGCACATGTACCCATGCAAGTGTGGCATGGGCTCAATCCGGGAGCCATGTTTGCAAATTGGTTCCCAGCAATGAAAAAATTTAAAACTCTTATAATAAGAGTAATAATAGTAATAGAAACCTGCTTACTGCTCCTTTGTCTGATACCTGTATTTCTCCAAATGATAAAAAACTTTGTCACGACCTTAGTTCACCAAAATGCTTTAGCAGAAGCATACTATATAAATCACTATCAATCTATTGCACAAAAAGACATAAGTAGCAAAAATAAGACTCAGAACTCCCACTAATAAAAACTGAGAGTCTCAAAGGGGGGAAATGAGGGAAGAGAGAGAGACCCTCTCATATTGTTTTATATTGTTTTATACTCAGTACCTCTTTTAAGAAAAAGTGACAAGGAAGTAAAACCAAAGACAGGCAGCCTGGTGCCAGGCCTGAAACCAGGCCTGGGCCTGTCTGGCCTAAACCCAGTAGTTAAAAATCAACTCATAACTTAGAAACTGATGTTATTCATAGATTCCAGACATTGTATAGAAGAACATTGTGAAACTCCCTGCCCTGTTCTGTTTCTCTCTGACCACTGGTGCATGCAGCCCCTGTCATGTACCGCCTGCTTGCTCAAATCAATCACGACCCTTTCATGTGAAATCTTTAGTGTTGTGAGCCCTTAAAAGGGACAGAAATTGAGTATTTGGGGAGCTTGGATTTTAAGGCAGTAGCTTGCTGATGCTCCCAGCTGAATAAAGCCCTTCCTTCCACAACTCAGTGTCTGAGAGGTTTTGTCTGCAGCTCATCCTGCTATAAAACCAGCTCTGCTCATGCTTCCAGCCCCAGCTCAAGAATCTCCCTGCCTTGAAGCCTTCCCTGGCCCCTGGTACAGGTAGTGTTAATGCATGCTGTGACCTTTACCTCAGCCTGTTGTTTCCCACTGGATAGTGAGCTGCTGGAGACTCAAGACCTGAGCCCAGGGGAAATGATGGGCAGGATCCCTGTGGGTAGGGGCAGGCCATGTGGGCCTGTTGCACCTTTATGCGTGGTCGGGCCTCTCTGGTCAGCTCTGAGCAGTGCAGAGCTCTGCAATGTCTTGGGTGTGCTGAAGGTCCACTGTGACACCTGCCCACCTGGCCCCAGCAAGCTGTCATCCGGAAGGTCAGACTTGAGCAAGAGGAGGAAAGCAAGCCCAATGCCTAGAGGATATAAGAATTGAGGAGCATGCAAATTCTCTTCCAGCAATGACAATGCTAAGATGTGTGGGAGGTTGTTTCCAAGTTGTTGAGCATGGGTTGGGGATTGCCCCTGGCTGAAGAAAAAATGTGAATTTTGGCTGGGTGCAGTGGCTCACGCCTGTAATACCAGCACTTTGGGAGGCTGAGGTGGGTGGATCATGAGGTCAGGAATTTGAGACCAGCCTGACCAACATGGTGAAACCCCATCTCCACTAAAAATACAAAAATTAGCCAGACATGGTGGCGCGTGCCTGTAATCCCAGCTACTCAGGAAGCTGAGGCAAGAGAATTGTTTGAACTCGGGAGGCAGAGTTTGCAGTAAGCCAAGATCATGCCACTGCACTCCAGCCTGGGTGACAGAGCGAGACTCCATCTCAAAAAAAAAAAAGAAAGAAAGAAAAAGAAAAAATGTGAATTTTGTGTCATGCACAGAACTGCGTTTGCCCTTGCAATGTGGTGCCCACCTGTCCTTTGCCTTAATAACGATGACCGTCTTTTTTTTTTTTGAGACGGAGTTTCACTCTTGTTACCCAGGCTAGAATGCAATGGCACGATCCTAGCTCACCATAACCTTCGCCCTCCGGGTTCAAGAGATTCTCCTGCCTCAGCCTCCTGAGTAGCTGGGATTACAGGCATGCGCCACCATGCCTGGCTAATTTTGTATTTTTAGTAGAGACAGTTTCTCCATGTTGGTCAAGCTGGTCTCAAACTCCCGACCTCAGGTGGTCCGCCCGCCTCGGCCTCCCAAAGTGCTGGGATTACAGGTGTGAGTCACAGCGCCCGGCCTAAGGATGAACTTCTAACCAAAAAATCTGATGCTTGTTCCTAGCTTGAAGGACATATGGGAAGATGCCAGTACCTGGTTCAACACTTCAGGATCTCCCTGGTTCCTGGAAGCCAATTCAGACATTGCCCACTGCCAGATACTGGCCAATGGTGCACTTCATTGGTCTTCTATTTTTGTCACAGATTAGAGAAGCAATTTAAACCACGTGCTCAGGCTGCTCAGTGGGCAAATCAATGGCAGGAGACATTTTGATGGGCTGCCCTCATGCTTTTATGCATTTGCAAAAACTAAAATTGATCCACATAAATAAACTGGTTTCTTTGAACTACACATCATGCTATGTCAGTTACCTGACTGGCCCCAGAGAGACTCTTTGCAGGCTATGCTCTGAGTCCTGATATCTGTGCGAAGTGGACAGCAGCCACAGCAGAGGATAGGGGCAGGAAGACCCCAGGAGTCTACCAGGGACAATTGCAGAGCTGGAGCCCAGGAGAGGCTTGAGGGTGAGGAAGAGGTGGGGTTCCTCTTGAGGCTGCATTGCTAGCTGGGACACTGCTCTTATTTGGAATGCCTGCTAAGGGTTAATAAACTCAGCAACATTCCCTAACGGTGCTTCCTAAGGTTAGAATTACATCCATGTTCCATATCAAGGATCAGCACCACAATTTTATTTTTCTCAGGGCTCATTTGAGGGTGTTGTCATGAGTTCTCTGGGCAGCATCACACCTTCAGCTAGCACTCACCTGTTACCTGTTTTTTGTTGAAATAGTTCCTTGCTGCTTTTGGCAAACCATCATCAGAGGGGAAAAGAACAAGCTAGCTGACAGAGTTCAGCTACGGACTAGGCCAACTCTTAAAGCTCACTGTAATCGCTTAGCAGTGGTGCAGGAATTAGGGGCAGATTCTGAGGTTAGTGAAGAGAAAGATTCATCTGGATCCACTGATCAACTGAACCAGGTCTTCGGTCATTTTCTCAAGATCCCTCAACCACTCAGCCATGGAGTCAGAAAGACTTTAGGTTCTCAACACAGCTCTTCTTCTCACTGAAGAACAGAGACTAAGCGCACTAGTCTCTGCTAAGAGCAGGAAGAATTTCCTATCTCAGGGGCTCTCTTCCTTCCCTACTCACACATACAATTCACAGATTTGCAGGTTTTCCTAGGACCATATATTTCTAAGGAAGAAAAGATTCAGATGTCAAAAAATTCTACCTGCTTTTAAAACACTTACAGAAAAATGACTGAAGCAATCCATGCCACATTAATTTAAATAACACAGGGCGTAAAGTGTAAGTTCTGCCTCAACTCCACTCCCCAGGGACAATCACTGTTCACAGATTTTCACCTGCTTTTAACATTTCAAAGAGAGCTGTCAAATTCTTGCTTTAAAAAAGGAAGAAACACCTCGGGCTCTTTAGAAAATTCAAAATCTCATGTTGAGCTGAGAAAGGTGAAAATGAGAGGCATTTTAACAGGAACACCTGTTAGTTTTGAGCATAAGCAGTTTTGGTACAAAAAATACTCAAATTTGAGGCTTTAGATGATTTCCAAAGGTGATTTTGAAAACTTGCCTCCCTTCCTGAGAAGAAAAGTTCTCCAGAGACACACCTGACACACTGGGGAATTTGTAAGGAAGACTTTTTTTTTTCAATTTAATTTGTAATTTCTAAGGCCAGTTAGGAAATTGCCTGGAGCATCTCCACCCTTTACTGGCAAACCACTCTGGGCGTGAGTCCCACACTTCACTCCCAGTCACCACGCTCTTCTTTCAAAAGTGTTTTATAGACCCCAACATTGATCAGAAATGACTCTCCCACCTTATTTACTTAGCAAACTGCAGCTCAGCTTATAATGAAGGGAGGCACCAGGCCTGGGCACCATCCTTTGCTTGTCCCCTCATTTAATTATCTCCCCACTTCAGGGAGACAGGCATTTACTTGTTACCTCACTCAACAGGGAAAGGGAACCTTCCCTTCACTCCATAAAAAAGGTTATGGGAATTTTTCAACTGGAACCAGATCTGTCTGACTCCAAAGTTTCTTTCCAGAGTTCCGTGAGAGCTCATGCACAATTGAGAATAACTCACAACATTGATGTTCAGTGTACACACACTCGCCACGACCTGTACAAAAACCCAATAGTTTCCTCTATTTTTACAGTTAGTCCGAACTTCCTTGTAAGTCTCCAGCCTACCGCCTCTGGGCATCCTGCTGCTGAGGTCAAAGCTGGTATGTCTGTCCAGTATCTGTTCCCTCAACCCCCGATCCTTTTGAGGACACCCTTGGCTCTCGTGGGTGCTGTGAATTTTCCCACTGTTTATCAACAAAAAGAGTAAAACTCTGTATATTTGAAAAGATTTATTCTGAGCCAAATATGAGTGACCAACAGCACATGACACAGCCCTAGGAAATCCTGAGAACATGTGCCCAGGGTAGTTGGGCTACAGCTTGGTTTTATACATTTTAGGGATGTAGCAGGAAGAGCCGCAGAAAAAACCCCTCAGACACTGAGTTAAAGAAGGAAGCGGTTTATTCGGCTGAGAGTATCAGCAAGACTCCTGTCTCAAGAGCCGAGCTCCCCAAGTAAACAATTCCTGTCCCTTTTAAGGGCTCACAACTCTAAGGAGGTCCATGTGAGAGGGTGGTGATCGATTGAGCAAGCAGTGGGGACGAGACTGGGGGATGCATACACAGGTAATTAGAATGGAACAGAACAGGACAGGGATCTTCACAGTGCTTTTTTATGCAAATAACCGATTAGGTCAGGGGTCGATCTTTAACTACCAGGCCCAGGGTGTGGTGCCATTCTTTTTTCCTTTATTTTCTTAATAAACTTGCTTTTACTTTACTCTGTGGACTCACCTGGAATTCTTTCTTGCACGATGTCCAAGAACCCTCTCTTGGAGTCTGGATTGGGACCCCTTTCAAGTAATAGTTATGTACAGAAAGGTGGGACAATTCGAAGGGGTGGTGGTTCCAGGTCATAGGTGGAGACCTGGGATTAATCGAAAGGAATGTCTGGGTTAAGATACGAGGTTGTGGAGACCAAGGTTCTTATTATGCAGATGAAGTCTCTAGGTAGCTGGCTTCGGAGCTCTTGTCAGACCTTCAAAGGCACCAGACTCTTAGTTAATTTTCTCCCGGATCAGGGAGAAGACCTGGAAAGGGTGGGGATTCTCTACAGAATGTAGATTTTCCACACAAGAGACAGCTTTGCAGAACCATTTCAAAATACATCAAAGAAGTATATGTTGGGGTAAAATATTTCAATTTCCTTCAGGGCTTACTATCTGTCATGTGATACTACACTAGAGTCAGGCTGGAATTTGGTATCTTATTGCTATAAAAAGTCTGCTTTATTAGTCTTAAGATCTCTGTTTTAATTTTTTTTTTTTTTAAGAGGGAGTTTCATGCTGTCCCCCAGGCTGGAGTGCAGTGGCACGATCTCGGCTCACTGCAAGCTCCGCCTCTCGGGTTCACGCCATTCTCCTGCCTCAGTCTCCTGAGTAGCTGGGATTACAGGCGTCTGCCACCACGCCCGGCTAATTTTTCTATTTTTAGTAGAGACGGGGTTTCACCGTGTTAGCCAGGATTGTCTCGATCTCCTGACCTTGTGATCCGCCCGCCTCGGCCTCCCAAAATGCTGAGATTTGTTTTAAGGTTAATATTGTTTAGTTGTGCCTGAATTCCAAAGGAGGAGAGTATAGTGAGGCATATCCGACCTCCTCTTCTTATCATGGCCTGAACTAGTTTTTTCAGGTTTACTTTGGAATTCCCTTGGCCAAGAGCAAAGGAGTCCATCAGTCAGCTGAGGGGCTTATAATATTATTTGGGGTTTACGTTGTTTATTGTCTCCTTGTACCCTGGGTTGATCTGTCCACCATAGCATTGGTGGTAGGGCTACCCTGCCTCACTATGGCAGCAGCTAGCAGGCCTGCAGACTCCTCCGCAGGGAATGTGCTGAAATGTCATGATCTCCACTATGCCACAAAGATGAGACTAAAAGGCAATGTCTTTCATTCTCCCATGGCCACTCTAGGTTGGTGTTGAAGCATGTGTGAAACCAGTCCCTGGGCTCTTGATAAGCATACCCCCTTCATGTTTGGCCTTGCTCTCTCTCTCTCTGGAGTTTCTGTCTTTTGCCCCCACCCCTTCATACCCAGCCCAAGTTTCAGCCTAAAGTAGGGGACTCAGGACCCTTGTATTTGGTGTCTTTCTACCTCCCCTACACTTGTTAAAATAGCACAGGCTTTACAGCCACATGATCCATGCTCTAACCAGCGCTCTCCTATGTTTTAGCTGTGTGACCTGCACAAGTTGCTCAACTTCTCTGTGCCTTTGTTATTTTCGATGTAAAATAGTAGGTGCAGCTGGAGAGGAACAGATTCACTGGATGAGAGTGTAATGTTAAAAGCGCCATGCAATATGAACATAATTTTTTATTATTTTAGGTGGCCAATTTTCAGAAATGGGGTACATAGCTTTCCCTTCCTTTCTCAATTTTTCTTACCCCCCACGTTTATTATAATTGAGTATTACAATAGTTAAGGATAAAAGGCTTTTACTTTTTTGAGACAGGTTCTCCTCTGGCTATGCTGCTCATGCTGCAGTACTGTGCCTATTCACAGGTGCAATAATATTATGTGCCCTACAGCCTCAAACTTGTAAACCAAAAGTAAATTCTAAGCCCCATCCCCAACCAATTGAGTGGACTCCTCCTCTGGGCCAAGGGCATTCTAAAGTAAACCTAAAACGCTAGTTCAGGCATGATGGGAATGGGTGGGAAGACAGGCCTCATTACCCCCTCCTCCCGTTGGAATTCAGGCACAGCTGACCAGCATTAACGTTAAAATAGAGACCTGAAGACTCTTTGTAGCAATATTACAGCTAGCAGGCCCTGAAAGAAATACGTATTTTACCTCCAAAATGTATTTCTTTGACATATTCTGAAATGGCCCTGCAAAGCTGTCTCGAGGGGAAAATCAACATTCTGTAGAGTTGATTTTCATCCTTTTCCAGGTCTTTTTCCAGATCCAGGAGAGAATTAACTAAGAGTCTAGTATCCAGTCTGATAAGAAGCATTTATAATCAATTCTCTCTGAAGCCTGCCACCTGGAGGCTTCATCTGCATAAGAAGAACCTTGGTCTCCACAACCTCTTATCTTAACCCACACAATCCCTTCAATTGATTCTAGATCTTTAGATAAACTTTCAACAAATTGCTATTCAGAAAATCTTTGAATCCACCTATGATCTGGAAGCCCCCCAGCCCTCTGAGTAGTCCCACCTTTCCGTACTGAACCAATATACATCTTACCTGCATTCATCGAAATCTTAAGTCTCCCTAAAATGTACAACACCAAGCTATAGCCCAACCACCTTGAGCACATGTTCTCGTGATCTCCTGGGTTCTGTCATGGGCCATCGTCATGCATAGTTGGCTTAGAATAAAACTCTTCAAATATTTTACAGAGTTGGATTCTTTTCATCAACAAACTCTTGGGCTCAAGTGATCTTCCCACCTTAGCCTCCCAGGCAGCTGGAACTATAGGCACATGCCATTGTACCTAACTACAGATAAAAGAGTTTAGAACACTCAACTAACAAGGCCATTCTGACCCTGAAATTCTAGTGAAATTGAACTTAACGCTGATCCAAAATGTAATACTATTCCCCAGGAATTTTTTTTTTAAACTTCTGGATCTTTTTGGTTAACATCGTAACCACTGGCTTAGATTTCCAGTTTCTGCAGAATTCTCATTTTTAATTTATAATATGATAATGAAGTATATTTTAAAATTAATTTTTTGATAAACTATAATAATATATTATCATGGCAGACACAGTGATGTTATATGTACACAGTGTGGAATCATGGAATCAAACTAATTACCATATCCATCACCATAAATACACATCATTTATAACATCTCCTCATTCCCCCCCACCCACCAGCCCCTGGTAACCACCACTCTACTCTCCGCTTCTATGAGTTTGATTTAGATCCCACATGGAAATGAAAACGTGCATTTTTTGTCTTTCTGTACCTGGCTTATTTCTCTTAACATAAGGTCCTCCAGGTTCATCCTTGTTGTTGCTAGTAACAGAATTTCATTCTTTTTAAAGGCATTTTTTGAGTGGCATTCCATTGTGTATATATAGCACATTTTCCTTATCTATTCATCTGTTAATGGACAGTTAGCTTGATTCCACATCTTGGCCATCATGAATAGTGCTGTGATAAACAGGAGTACAGATATCTCTTCGAGATACTGATTAAATTCCCCTAGAATTTATAGCCAGTAGTGGGACTGCTGATCTTCCTTTCTTTTTCAACAGCAATCTGTCTCCAAAAAATACCCAACCTCCCACTTGTGCTCAAGGATAGCTGATACTGCTTTAATGAGGAACGACTATTTTTCTTGCCACAATTTGAGGCAAAGGAAGCACACACACTGAAATTAAGGTCCAAATGACTGATCCTAGGCTCATATCCAAGTGCAGATTTTGACAGAGAAAGGTGAGAGGACAAACAGAGCAAGTGCGAGGAGGAACTCGGGCAGGAGGGAGGGAGGTTGTGTAGAAAGGAGGATTAGCAGTGCCAAAGCTTTCCTCTTTTGCCGGTGCTTAGAGCTGGAAAACTGCAGGTAGGGCTGAGATGGATCCTGTTTGTCAGCGTCTGTTCTGTACTTTGCAATTTGACAGCAGGCTTCCCAGCAGACATGTGTCACCTTGCCTCCGCATTTTCACCCCCACACCTAGCACACCCAGGAAAGGGCAGGGATGTGGGAGGTGAAGCTAGGGCCATGTACTCCGGGGTAAACTTCAACCTCACAGAAGGAGCCAGGCTAGGAGGACCCTGAAGGCCCTGGGTTCAGTTCCGCAGGGCGGAGAGACTGCTTTCCTGGGCCATTCCACTAGTTCCCGGATCTGGAAAGCTCCTTGTAAAGTGTTTCCATAATTTTCATTTTCTCCCCATGTGTCCTTTGCCTTTTACAAAATTACTTAAGGGCAGCTATAATGTACTAAAAAAGATACCAAAAGCCCCATTTTCTTATCAAATGCCCATTTTTTTCTGCCACTCAGAATTAATAACAGTGAAAGTCTTGTCATAATTTATCCAACTTCTTTTTAAATAACCGTTCTATTTAAATGAGGAAGGCAATCATGCTTGCATCTTCTGAGAAACAGTGTGGTTAAGGGTGGCGTCATTTGATTGTCACACAGCAGAGTCCTGAAGGACATTTTATAGCTTTTCAAGAATACCCACATTTTTGTCAGGGTCTTGCAGGCAGAGAAGGTTGGGTTCTCTGCAAAGGAGATCAGGAAGTCCCCATGATGCTACACATGCGAGCCAGGCCAGACATTCCCCTTTCCACAAAGTACCAACCCTTCTGGGCTGGTGCGTTTGGACTCAAATGTCCCTATATGCACTCCTCATATTTGCTTCCGTCCTCTGAACTCCGGTGGCAATTAGTCTGAATAAACCTCTTGTAATTTCTGGATAATGATTTTATAATTACCTTGAATCATTGAAGTGTGTTGCTATTTCTTATCATTTAACTACTCTCGTACTACTTTAGAGTGTCTAATAAATGTTGATTTAATCTCTTAAAACAGTGGCTTCTAATGATTAACATTCCCCACCCACAGTAAAGGCTTCTGCCTCCAGCACTGCCTTCTCTCTCTAGAATTAGATCCTCCTAGCAACTACCCACTCCCACTGCTCATTGGATGCTGTCTTCTAGAATGATGGGTTTCCAGCCATTCATCCTTGTGTTTCCCCACAGCTGGTGCTAACAGTTCATTCCCTCAAGGTGTACCAAATGGAATGAACCTATTAAATCCCTAACTCTACTAACAGATCATACCAAACCAGTAACGTGCCCTTTCTTAACTTCCATTTATATTCCTGTTTGGGGGTCATTCTGTGTTGCTGACCTCAGTCCGTTCAGCCTGCATACTTAAAAGTACGTAACTGGGCCTTCTCTCTTCTTCCCCCAACCCCACCATGTGAGGACACAGCAAGAAGGCTGCCATCTACAAGCTAGAAAGTGATCCTTGACTGAGTGTGGTGGCTCATGCCTGTAATCCCAGCACTTCGGTCTCAGAAAAATAAAAGTGATCCTTCACCAAAAACAGAACATGCTGGAACCTTGGACTTGGATTTCTAGCCTCCAGAACTGTAAGAAAATAAATTTTTGTTGCTTAAGCAAAAAAAAAAAAAAAAAAAGAAAAAGAAATCTTCAAAAAAGTACATAACTGGGTGGGGTGAGCTTGTTTGTACTTCAGAAGATCCCCTCTGAATCATAAATAAGTAATAATTAGTTACTGAGGTCATTTATCAAAAGACAATGCTTTAGATATCTGTTCTTACAGGACAGTGAAGTATTAGAAAATCATGGGAAAAAGAAAACCACCGGCAAATATTTTTCCATTTTAAAATGCCACTGACTTTAAGACATGCTAGTTTTGAGAAAAAAAAGAAAAATCCTGAAATAGAATATGCACTTCAGAAATGAAATGCAAAAAAATGCTGTCTCTTAGAAATGAGATAATTCAACTACTAAGCAAATAAAATAAACCTGTAACATTCCTCCAATGAGATGGCCATGGACCTGTTTTCTCTGTTGACTGTGTAAAAACACTCTGGGGACACAGGTGAGAAAATCCATGTCAGGCATATGGAGGGTTAACTTGGAGGAATGATGGCCCACTGACACCATACCTGTGGGTCATCATGCTGCTTTTACAAATTGCCCAGTGGAAAGCATAAATTGAATGTTTAAAAACTACTAAACTTGCGTATACGGTTGTGAGGAAAAACGTCCATTCAGTCCTGCCAGAACACATTAATTTTATCTCGAGTGTAGCCACGGGGATCCTCGCACTTCTACTATCTGTATCCAGTGAGGTTGCAACAACCTCACCATCCATCAAGCTCTCTGTAGAAGGTGGAAGGTTGAGAGAAGTCCCCTGAGGAAGAGTGACATTGCGCTGGGTGACTCAGTCTGACGCAAGCCACAAATGAGGCAGAACAGGATGCTGAGGCTGAGGGGAAGAGCTTGTGCAAGGCCTCCCCTCATGCTAACTGCGCAGCAGCCCATAAGATGCGGGCCATAATGGTCGTTATGATTCTCCTCCCCCACCAGTCTTTTATTTAGGTTCATTTTTGCTTGTGGCAAAAAATACTCTCTTCATGGTTCTCAGATGTTAATGAATTGAATGTTCACCGTCCATCTTCCTGAATTGCTTCACAAAAGAATCTTACTTTAAAGGTGGAAAGTCCTCAAGGTCATAGCTTTCTAATCTATTCCTGAAAAGTCATTTCCATTTTGTGCTAGTTAAAAATGGAATGCATTTAGGATTTCATCTTATTGATGAAATTGACCTTAAAAAATGGTCAATTTTGATTTGTAGCTCGGAGTGAACTGGGCAATACAAAAAAGGACTATTTTGTACCGTAAGAAATAGATGTGAGGAAGGCACGATGATTTCCAGTATCCTTCACTGAGGTCAATTTTTTTTTCACAGAAAACTAAAATGTTCCTGTTCTATTTCCTTTAATTTACTCAGAATACTGATTCCCAAGATTTTAAAAGTGACTTACACTTTAATAGAATCTCAACCTATTTAATTTGTATAGTGCTTTTGTGATTCTCAAGCAAAATTCTACTTCTTCAACTTTTACTTTGGATTCATGGAATACATGTGCAGGTTGTTACTTGTGTATACTGCGTGATGCTGAGGTTTGGAGTACCAATGATCCCATCACCCAGATACCGAGCACAGTGTCCAATAGGTTTTCAACCCTTGCCCCACTCCTTCCTCTAGGAATCCCAGGTATCTATTATTACCATCTTTATGTCCATGAGTAGCCAATGTTTAGTTCCCATTTGTGAGAACATGGGGCATTTGTTTTTTTGTTCCTGGGTTAATTTGTTGTTTGTAACAGGATGATGGCCTCCAGCTAACTCTATAAGGACAAGCTTGCTTTCTTTTATATGGCTGTGTCCTACACGATTTTAGATCTATCATCTATCCTCCCGGCATAATTGGTTAGGGAGTTTGTCTCATTATTCTTCCCAGCCATATGACCTTGTGCAAAGATCAAACTTTGGGCAAAGAGTTCAATTCAAACATCAGCTATTACTAGTGTAGCTGGGCCACCCTACCCCACTGGAATTATATGTCTTGGGTATCACTCAGTTTTAGTACCTTTAACCTGGACACGTTACCCAGATACAATTTCAAGGTAAACATGCCTGCCTGTCTTCCTAGTTTTTTTTTTTTTTTTTTGCCCAGCAGGAGTGCAGTGGCACAATCGCAGCTTCGAAATGCTAGACTTAAGCAATCCTCCTGAGTAGCTGGGACTACAGGCATGCGCCACTGCACCCTGCTGATTTTTAAATTTTTGGTAGAGATGGGTTTTTTTGTTGTGCAGAGTGGTCTTGAACTCCTGGGCTCAAGCAATCCTCCTGCCTCAGCCTCCCGAAGTGTTGGGATTACAGGCATGAGCCACCACGCCTGCAGGTTTTAACATGTTAAGCAAAGCACACACCCGCAGCAAGTGGGAAATCCAGCTTCAAGAGAATTTCCATTTCTTACCATCTTTTTCCACTTTGTCCATCTCTCCCTGCAGCCCTCCCCCATCAAGCATCCATTGTATGAAATGCCCATACTACCTTTTTCTGTGTGCTTTACCTACTATGCTTACTCTTGAAAATTTCCTCCTGGGCCATCTTAGAAACTTATTATTCAGTCTGCATTTCCATTTTGCTTACCTTTCTGTGACACTCATCCAATGGCCTATGGCCGTGTTTACACGGATTTGATATGCTTTAGAAGGCAATTACTTTTATTCATCATTGTCTCCCCTGGGCCCAGCTAGCATGGCACCTGTTACATAAAAAATTCATGTTTTCTGACTGTTCAGTAGATGCCATTTTAAGCAACAACTCAAAGGGCCTTTTTTCTCGGGATTATTTTAAAACATGTTTCATTTATCCTCTAGTATTTCAGACGATGTCAGAAAATGAAAAATGGACATTTACTTTTTTACCTAAAGCCTATCACTTTGCAGGTCATTACTCTTCGCTGTGAATGAGGAAAAAAAAAAACAAAAACTCTGTGGTATGTTAAGAGCCAAGAAACTAGTGATTTTTTTCTATTACCATTTACAACTGGTATGTTTTACAAACGATCACATTTTATATATCAGCTTACCTTTTATATGTTATTTATTTATTTATCTTTTTGAGACGGAGTCTTGCTCTGTTGCCAGGCTGGAGTGCAGTGGCGCGATCTTGGCTCACAGCAACCTCCGCCTCCTTGTCTCAAGCGATTCTCCCGCCTCAGCCTCTCAAGTACCTGGGACTACAGATGCACACCACCATGCCCAGCTAATTTTTGTATTTTTAGTAGAGACAGGGTTTCACCATGTTGGCCAGGATGGTCTCCATCTCTTGACCTCATGATCTGCCTGCCTCGGCCTCCCAAAGTGCTGGGATTACAGGCGTGAGCCACCGCACCCGGCCACATTTTATATATTATTTTGCATAGCCTTCATTGTCTTAGCAAAGTCAGAAGAAGTCCAATAACATAATGTCATTAAATTAACAACAACGACAACAACAACAACAAAACAACCCAGGATGGGGGCAGTGGCTCAAGCTAGTAATGCCGACACTTAGGAAGGCCAAGGTGAGTGGATTGTTTGAATCCAATTTAAGACCAAACTGAACCCCTCTATTTAAAAAAAAAGTAAAACAGTAAAAAAATCCTTGGTTTTCTAGATAAACTGCCTGATACCATCACTGAAATGATATCATTTTGTGTGTGATATTAATTTAAAAAAGACATAAACTTTGGGTTCTAAAAGGTGACTAAGGAAAACAGGCACTTTAAGATCACACTGATATGGGTATCAGGATGGGGAGAAGAAAAATAGAAAATTGGCATTTACATTTTTACTAATAAAAAAAAGCATCAATAGCTAAGACTTATGTAATGCTTACTAAGTGCCTGCACGTTTAACCATAAACCTATAAGACAGGTTCCAATATATTCATTTTACAGGAGAGGAAACTGGGCACACAGAGGTTAAGTAATTTGCCCAAGGTCACATAAGAAATAAGAGTTGAGATTCAAATAGAGGTAGTCTAGCTACAAGTATCATGTACTTATCACACTGCACTATACTATACTGGCAAGAAACTAAGTTGCTTTCTTGAAGAAATCCCTATTCAAATGGCATGCATATGATTCACTTGGAAAAATTAGACTAATCAACATCTGGCTGAAACCTTTGTTTCAGAAATAAGCCTCCTATGTACTTTGAGATGATTAACAGTATTTCTGCATTACTGTAATAAACATTTGTCAAAAAGAGCAATCACCTCAGTCATCATACAGACTTCTTTCCCTTCATTAAAGACTTCTAAATATAACTCTTCTGTATCAAAGAACTTACAAATGTCTCAAGAAAGTAATGGTGTAGCAGTGTAAGAGAAGTAAAAGTCTGCTAGGGGAAACTAATGAAGCATTTTCCTCATTACACTTTTGGGTTGATATATTTCATTAAGACAGAACTAGTTCTGTTTTGCTTTGCTTTTTAGTGCTTAGTCTGAGAGGCAATGCGAGAAACCAAAAGTCTTAGGAGAAAAACTGCTTTCATAATTTCCAGTGTAAGCCACAAAGAAGCTTTTCTATAAAGGCTTGAAAGCTTGAAGAGGTGACAAGAGCAAGCTGTATTCAATTAGACAGTTCAATAAATATGCAAAAATAAAAAAACACTTAGCAATCATGAGTATACTGTTTGTATTCTGGAAAAAGCAACATATTTCATGCTTTGAATATTTTCTCTTGAGAATAGTTTTAAAGTTATTTCCTTTTGTAACATTCAAAAGTAAAACACACATATATAATTCCATCAAGGATTCTCTGTATGATTAACATTCTGTACAAGTCAAACATGACCACATCTATATTGGAAAGAGAGCACTGAGAAGCAACAGCAGGAGAATGCATCACCTGTGCCTGTTTCAGGATGAACAGTTTTGTTAAGTTCAGCAGATGAATGTAACAATGACCACTTGTTTCCAAATACCCAGATGTTTCTTACTGGCTCCTCACTAATCAATAACACAAGTGCTAAGTTCTAAGTATTTAAAAAAACAAAAGACTGCAGGTGACTCCTTCTCTCTGGTCCCTTTACCAAAGCTCCAAATCACTTATGACATTAATTACAATATTCTGCACTCCAAAAAAATATGCAAACACAGGTTTGCTAAATTTTAGTTACTCAGTGAACCTACTAAATTTTAAAGTAGAAAAAAGACTTACATTCTCATGACACAAACTTTAGTTTTCACATTCACCAAAACATTTTAAAATCACTCAAACATGAGAATTGAAAATGTGTGTGCTTATTTGGGAGAGGATTACTGCATTTATTCTCCAGAAAAAAAGGCAGACCTGAGGCATCACATTACCGGAACATTTAAATATGATGACATGTTTCTTATCTTCTAAACTTCAACGAAAGCTGCTTGTACAAACTATTTAATGCATATCTGCCCCATTAAACAAGATATTTGATGTAGCAGAGAAGCCAGAAGCTGAGTCACTTCATTTCTTTCTGTTGCCTCCAGTTGCCAGCATAGTTGCAACTCGCATAAATATATTTAATGTATCCATGTAGATACTCAGCATCCTAGAAAAGAAAATTATGCCCATTATATATGATGCAATTCTAATAGTGATGTTGAATTCTTAATATAGAAAAGAAGAAAAATACTATTTGTCTTAGTGATATAAAATGGAAATTAAAAATAAGATGTTTAACTGCCAACTAATGAAGTACTAGACTAGAAAATAGTTAAGGTCTTCCTTTTGGCAGACTCATCTTTTAAATGTTAAAGAGCAGTTTAAAAAAATCATTATTTTATTCTCTGACACTCTGCATATATCAACTTGCAAAGAAAACTAGGTGGCAGACAATGAAATAATCAAAACAAGACCAAAGAAACACCTTTATAAAAACCTGTTAGACACAAGTCTAGCATTTTTTAATATAAAAGACCCACTTCACCCCTCTAAAGAAAACTTCTACAAATCTGTAAGCTTTACAGTACAGCAACTTTTTCTTCCCCCTAAACCATTACATTAAGTTTTATTTTTAGATAAAATCAAATTACTTTAAAAAAATGTGACAGACACAATGAAACTCAAGAAAATTGTTTAAATAAAATAACCCACTTTGGTCGACTCCAAGAAAAAAGAAAAAAACATAATAACAATTAATACCAACTAAAGTTGCATATCTCTGAAACTAGACTCTTTATACTGAAGAGTTTCTAATTTCTAGAAGTATAAAATAGGCTTTTCTATTAAAAATTCCATGTCAATTATATACATTTTCCAATAAATAATACTTGATTAATACATTTCTTCAGTTTTAAAGTCTGCAAAATACACTACCAAAAAAATTAACTGAGCAGTAAGAGCACATTATTTATTGCACCCTGACACTGGCTCACAAAAATAGACAAAATATTCTGATAATGGAATGAATACCTAAGTATTACACTAAGTTGCAATAAAATCAAGAGGTTTTTTTGGATAGTTTACTAAAGAGAGAACAGACAAAACTGCAACAGAAGTAAAACAGGAAATCTGACAAAGCCATTGGTGTGGTTTGAGCTGTGACCCTCCTCTGCCCCCCAACAAAATATAATGAAATCCTAATCCCTGGTACACAGGAAGAGCACCATGTGAAGATGGAGACAGAGACTGGAATGATCCATCTACAAGCCAAGGAATGTCAAGGACTGCCAGCAGTAACAAGAAGCTGAGAGGCAGGGAACAGATTTTCCCTCAGGGCCCTCAGAAGTACAACTCTGCTAACACCTTGATTTTAGATTTCTGGCCTCCAGAACTACAAGAGAATCAAGTTTTGTTTTAAGCCACCCAGTCTGCGATACTTTGTTAACAGTATCCCTAGAAAACTAATACAGCCATAAACCAAAACAGGTCAAATACACACAAGCATCCTTATGTGACAGAGTAACAGTGTTAAATAAAAAGCATTACTTACGAGTTAATGGGATCATATTTTTGAACTCCATACATTGGTGATACTTCTGCACGCTTGATTACTTTCTGGGTATCATACAGAAGGAACATGCTGAAAAGAACTAATCCACCGTACATTGCCACTGAGTAAAGAGTGGCACCAGCCACGGTGGTAGGTGGAAGAAACATAGATCCTGAAATCAAAATGCGAAAACAAGATTTTTTTTAAAAAAGGATTTCCGATAACTGAGTTTATGATTTATATTACTTAAAAAAAAATCTCCTTGGTATACTGTGTAGGTAAGACGACATCTGGGTACATGTACTGTCTAATCTTATTTGCATTAGTTCAAAATCCATGATACTCATTCCTCCAATGAGCCACTTGCCCATTTCACAGGAAGGTTCTTGCATCAGAGCAATATTCATGTTCTCCAGACCAACTTTCCCATTTTAGATGTGTTTGGTAAAGCCAGTAATAATGGTTGACCATGTTGCCATGATTTTTATATGATGTCAGGTAGTAAAATCCAGTCAAATTAGCATAAATCTTTAAAAAAACTTTTAAAATAAATGACTCAATCAATTAGGATATTGGAGTATTTCAGGTTACAGGAAACTATGCACCAAGAATTAAGTGTTAAAACACAGCAGCTTACCCAATGAGGACACAAAGACGAGACCCAGGCCCACTCCCAGGGGTGCACCCATGTTCAGAAACTTTTCACTGGGCGCACACATGGCCACAGTGGAGAGGCCTCCCACAATGCCAGCTGTGTACCATGCAGCTCTGATGAGAAGAGGACCCCCTAATATTGTCAGAGGAGCCACCACTGCACCCATCACACCTGGAGAAAGAGGAAGTGCTCATTAAGTATTTACTAAATAACAAGCAAAAGGAAAATATCACTTCTAACATGCCACTTTATATTATACCTTACTGTTTAAGCACTATGATTCAAAAAGTTCTGCCTTTAGATAATACTACCCCCACCAAATTCTACAGCCCAAATTGGTGACTACTCAAATTCTATATCACAACATTAACACTATTCCTAATCAATCACACTCACAAGCAAACACTAATCTACTTATTTAGTAACCATCAAATTCCATGTAGCTATTTGAATCTGAGCTTACCACTAGTTTCTACAACATTCATATAATAATTGAGATAAACAAGCTTAAAACAAATAACTCAAGGTCAAACCTACTGCTGTCAAAAGGGAAAGCATATGATGATAAACTTAAAATGTGGGAACTTCTAAGACAGACACTGCTGTTTCTTTATGTAATAAGGACTGCTAACAGCTTATAAATAAGTAATTTTAGTTGTCAGATATTTATAAACAATTTCGTAAAAAATTTACCAGTAATTCAACAAAGGTAAATGGAACTCCTTAATTGAAAAAAAACTTAGATAATGCATTATTTCAGTGCTAAGAAGAATAAGTTACCTTTTTCTTAAATGTCGTTTACCTCATAGACTAGGCACAAAGCTATCTTTATACTGAATTTTCAATACTAGCTTAAAGAATAACATTTCTAGATCAAGTTATATGGTTAATAAGGTATACTATCTCATGATGATGAATAATTTAAAAATACTTTTTGCTCTAGGCAAAACAGTGGGTGAAATTTCTACACAGAACACTTCTATTAGGACTCCTCTCAGTTTTTTGTTATTTCGCAGCAACATTTTTAGCACAACTTTCTCTATCCTCAGTTTTTAATTTTTCTAAACATACCAGACAAAAACAACTCTCAAATGATGCGTACTAGATATAAAACCCTCCTGGTATCGAACAAAATACACAAAAGTAAATCTCTGCATATACTAGACTGTCAGAAGATACAAGTTTCGTATTGAAGATGTCCATGGTCTTAGCAAAATCAACTTTTCAAAGCAAAGGTCTGGCAATAATGCAGCCAGTAATGACTGAAGAAAATGGTGTTTTCTAAACATGAGGCTTAAATTCCATGTAGGTCATTTACAACTGTGAAGAGCCACCCAAAAAAGGTGGTAGTCAAGGTTGTCTCGTAACAATTTAAAACAGAACATACCAGAATGTAGCAACCAAGCAAGATGCTTTGGGCCTGGGCTCTGGTCATATGGTATTGATCGTACCAGCATTCCAGCTCCAACCATGGCTGCAAAGGTCACACCAATTGTCTGAAAGACAAGTACTATTAAGAAAAACTGATCTTTATATGAAAACAAAGCAGAAACCCACAGGTTTGAAGTACAATTAGTTACTTCTAATAAACTAGTTGTAAAAATATTAAAGATAATAAATCAAAGCTTAAGGCCAGGCGTGGTGGCTCACGCCTGCAATCCCAGCACTTTGGGAGGCTGGGGCAGGTGGATCACCTGAGGTCAGAAGTTTGAGACCAGCCTGGCTAACTGGTGAAACCCTGTCTCTACTACAAATACAAAAATTAGCCAGGCGCAGTGGTGCGCGCCTGTAGTCCCAGCTACTTGGGAGGCTGAGTGAGGTGGGAAAATCACTTGAACCCGGGAGGTGGAGGTTGCAATGAGGCAAGATCGTGCCACTGCACTCTAGCCTGGGTGACAGAGCGAGACTCCATCTCAAAATAAAAAAATAAAAAATAAAAAATAAAAAATAAAAACTTTAATTTTTCTGGCACATTAAAAGCTCTGGGTTTATTTCAGAGTTTTGGCTAAGTTAGCACGAGTGCCCCCTACTGCCATATATGAGGTTTTGCAGACAGCTTCAAATGCATGTCTTAAGCTTGAACTGGCAACACATCTTTTAACAATTTTACTCTTGTTGGACAGAGGTGAAACAAAAACCCTTTAGGGATCCCAAGATAATTAACTCTTAATTAAAAAATATATTTTTGTATAGCACAAATAGCATTTTCTTTAAAATCAGTGATGCTTACAAATTAGTAATTTTTAAAAAAAATATATATAGCACATCACTTTGAACTCCATATTTGCTAAATGAAGACTTGAAAAATAGAAAGTAGATTATCACAGCACATGGAAAAGAAAAATGAGAAATAAGATTCTACACTTCTACCCTTCCAGGTTTATGGCTAATTTGGTCCTCATTCCTTTTCTTTGCCTATCTTAGATTTCCAGTGTTATAATTAAATATTGCTTGTGTATGACAAGAAGAATGTATTAACATGTAATGGAAATAAGATGGTGCTAATCTCCAAGAAATTTAAATCAGAGATTGCAAACTTGTAGCCCTTGGAATCAGGCCACAGATGTTTTGTTTGGCAAACTATGTTTAAAAAAACAAACAAAAAAAAAGAACATGGTGAATGGTTTTAGTTGAAAAGGTTAACTCTAGATGTCAGTAACCTCTAGATGTCAACAATCTCCTGTGTGACACACTAGGCCTCCTCACTCATCTGTATTATCTGTCTCACCTATGAACATCAAAATATTCAACCTCTAATATAAAGTACAGGTAAACCAAATAGCTGGTTTTGCCAAGAATGGGAAAACCTTAACATGAAAAAGCATACTGAGCTGGGTGTAGTGGTATGGACCTGTAATGTCAGTTACTTGGGTGGCTGAGGTGAAAGGACCACTTGAGCCTGGGAATTTAAGCCAAGCCTAGGCAAACATAGAGATCTAGTCTCTATTTTTAAAAAACATTAAAAAGAAAAGAAAAGCATATCGAGCTCCACTCCACCATTTTCTAACGAGAAATAATTACTACAAACTATTTCACACATCCTCTGTGGACAGCAGCAATTAAATTTTTTTAAGATCTTCTATGATCCAGTCTCACTCCAAACTCTGCATTCCAACCATACGGAACTGGCACAGCTGCCAACATGCCCCAAAATTTCAGGCCTCCTTAATTCAATCCATCATGCCTAAGAATATCTCCTTCCATATCTGGTCGACTTACTCTGGTACTGTCTCATCTCAAAAGCTTTTTCTAGTAGGTACCCTGGCTGCCCAAGAGCAAGATCAGATACCTCTCCTCAGATGCACTTGGGACAAACTTTGACATTATCTGTGTGTCTATGTGTGTGTTTGTATATATATGTCTGTCACACCCAAAAGGTTACATCTTCATCTCTGTAACACTTGTCTTTGGCTTTCCTATTTTCTGTATTACTAACAGTGGAAGAGGGTAATCTTTTGCCCAGAAGGGACTGAGGATATGGCCCAAACACAAAACTTCTTTGAAGCCTCATTTTAGGGCCTAAAATTTTAGGTAAATATTGTCATGTTTATTACAAAAGTATTGTTTTAAATTATTTGCTTCTGATTAAAACTGACATCCCCAGTGAAACATTCTGTGCCTTTGTGAACCTCTGGGCTGGGAGATTCATGACGTCTATGTGAAAAAGCATGATCCTAAGAATATATAAATATCCAAATGGCTGCTACTGTAAATGGTTATCCTTTAGTAAAGTACAACACAGTGAAAATAATATGGTTTTCGTCCCTATGTGGGGAATCAGTGTTACATGAACTCTCCTTCCCCTCCAGTATCACACTCTGCTCTAGTTCAGGTTCTTATCATCCCTCATTTCAGATCTTACAAAGGCACAGCTGGTACACCTGCTCCATGTCTCTTCCACATTGGTTCTAAAAACTCAAATATAAATCACGCTTTTGTTGTTCCAGTATCTCCAATGGCCTCCGACTGCTTAGGTTCTCTCCTCAGCTTGACAACTGTATCCTTTCTAACCACGTCTTCTTTACCCTCCAGACCTCAAACACTTGAATTTCCCTCTAATGGGATTGTAAGTCACCTCTGAAATTAGGTTTTCCTACCTCCTCTTCCCTTAAACTGTTTGGTAAAATTGGACCGCCCTTGTCTACTTAAAAAAATTTTTTTTTAATTTTTAAAATTTTCTATTTCTTTAAAAATTACAGACAGTGTCTCACTATGTTGCTCAGGTTGGTCTCAAATTCCTGGGCTCAAGCAATCTTCCTGCCTCAGCCTCCTAAAACGCTGAGATTACAGGTGTGAGCCACTGCACCTGGCCCTCTTGTCTACTTCTAAAATAAATGAGACATGTTAGCCTTCAACAACCCTGATGAAATAAATGTCTCCTTCACGGAACTTGCCTAACAGTCCAAGACAGAAACTCTCAACTGACTTTGCACTTTCTTATTGCGTATCTGTGCCACTTATTCCAGTTCATCTCTTCTACCAAATAGCAGGAGAATAGGGGACACATATTCAAATTCTCTTATCTAGCAAAATAACAAGGGCTCCAGAGAAACCGATTAAATATAAAATCTTCTATAAGGTCAAGAATCTTAGGAATAATAGTAGCAGCACTATTCTGCTCTTAACTGCATAGGCATTTCCCTCTGACTTCTAAGATGATTTTGCATTTGCTTTATTTTTTTAGTAAACTGCTACAAATTAGAGGCTGTCTGATATCTGCTGCTAGACAAAAATGTTGTCTCTGTAAGTTTGATTTCTAACTCCTCTGGTATTATTCGAATACATGTTTAATAAAGAATAATAGCTGACCTACCTAGAATGAACTTCCTACTTTTATCTCAGCTGCACTAATACAGGTTGAGTAACTCTCATCAGAAATGTCTGGGACCAGAAGTGTTTCAGACTTCAGATTTCGGACTATTTATCATTACACTTCATTGTTGTTAGGGTTCAGGATCCCTAATTCAAAAACCCAACATGTGAAATGCTACAATTTTCTTTGAGCATCATGTTGACACTACAAATGTTTTGGATTTTGGAGCATTTCTGGATTTTAAATTAGGGATGCTCAACCTGTAATTCATACATTATTTGAACAAAAACTTGTTCAATACAGTATTCTTTCCATTTAATAACCCTTCCCTCCAATATATTTTATCTAATCTTTTGATCTTTAGATGAAAAAGGAAAACAAAAACAGCTGACTTACCACCCAAGAGCCTCTCATCATGAAGTTCATGAGAACAGGCGTTCTGCTGATTGCTATGGCAGACAAAGCTGTTAAACCAATACTCCCTGCTAAGTACATATAGGTGGAATGAATTCTATCCTTGACATACTGAGGCCAAATTCTGTAAGAAACATGACATGATTAATCTATGAAATTACAGATTTGATTTCTGGTTGAGTCACACACTAGCTGGGCGACCTCGGGATAAATCATTTTACACTTTAAATCTTATTCACTTCATTTATCATGGAAATAATTATGATAATTATGCATACTTGGGAGTTACTGTAAGGACTAAATGAGATAAAACATACAAGCACATATAAAAAACAACATATTTTTGGCTGGGTGCGGTGGCTCATGCCTGTAATCCCAGCACTTTGGGAGGCTGAGGTGGGTGGATCACCTGAGGTCAGGAGATCGAGACCAGCCTGGCCAAAATGGTGAAACCCCGTCTCTACTAAAAATACAAAAAATAGCCGGGCATGGTGGCATGTGCCTGTAATCCCACCTACAGGAGCCTGAGGCAGGAGAATTGCCTGAACCCAGGAGGCGGAGGTTGCAGTGAGCCAAGATCGCGCCACTGCACCCCAGCCTGGGAGATAGAGCAAGACTCTCTCTCCAAAAAAACAAACAAACAAACAAACAAAAAACATATTTCATATTTTCTCTTTGCTTAAACACATATAACCTTGCTAAAAGATTTTTATTTAGATTTGAATAAATAAATGTCAAAGAAGCAAAAAGAGATTCTCTATTTGTGTGTATACACAAAGACTAGACACAAAACATTCCAAAGTGACTAAAGATAGGAATGAGAAGAAAATTTGAATTTTTGTTTTAAGGCTGGAGTTGTTTAGGAACAGTTTACTTAAAACAATTTACTTACACAGCCTTTTCAATAGCTCCAATCTCATTAGACAGTCCCAAGCCATAGTAGCACAATGCTCCAAGACCAACAGCAGCCCCTCCAGCAACAAACCATCTTCCCATCTGATCAACTGCAGAACACAGAAGGAAATGCAGGTTAGTACTGGCACATCTGGACAAAGCCTTTAAAATATTTATCAAGGGAATCAAATCATGTACCATATTTAATAGAAGCCATAATCAGTGCATATGGGGTACAGAAATTGCCTCAATGTTAGGTAACCAGTAGAAAAAAACACTCCTGAAACAAAGGTGTAAAAATCAGTACAAAAAAGAAAGGATCAGGCTTGGTGAATCTTCAACCTCCCTCCAACAATATTTGAGGGAGCAGTATACCTGTAGACGTGGAGCTACTTCTGTGATACCTATTATTTTACTAATAAGAGGTTGAAGTATATTCACATGACATTCATGGAAAGTAAAAAATGAGAAGGAAATGTTAACAGTCATACCATACTGCATGGTATTAACACAAATGATGCTTTACGTGGAAATCAAGAAAAAAGAGAAAATATAATCAGTGTTTATGCAGCAGAATCAAGTGAGAGGAGGCTCCCGTTTTAGGGTACTGAGAGGCAACTAATCAACTCTAACTCAATAGAGGTATTCATAAAGGGCATCTTATTCTTTTAGTCTAATTCGTTTACTAAGAATATTACTAGGCTGTCACTACATAATTTGCATGATTTGGTCTCTAGGGTCAAATCAGAAAGAAATGACCTGAAGGATACTGATTAGGGCTCTCTCCCACTGTAAAGACATTTTGCAAGATTATTAAGGAGCAGTGGTATTCTTTGAATAGCTTTAGGATGATTAACAATCTAGTTTCTGAACTTGCAAAGTTGATATCCAAACTGAACCAAACTGGCAATATATTAAAGTACTGCCCTCCTGAGGCCCTATGTGAGCAGTGAGTTAAAGGATTCTTCTTGGACAGCTAGGCTTTTATTAACATCTATGTGTTGGTGATTTATTCTTAATCTGAAACATACACAAATATTATATGCTTGAATGAGGATTCTACACACTTAAAATGAACTTTCTCAACAGAGTATACCTTTTGGACCATGGCATATTAATAATCCTTTTCTTTAAAAAAAAGGAAAGTAAAATTTCCACTGGAAGAAATATGATTGATAACCACTGAATCCAGTGCAAAGTACCAATCTTTTCTGGGTCGTCAGATCTCAGAATAATAATGTGGTCTTCCCAGAAAATGCACAAATACACATATATTTTTAGGAAGTTGTTCATGGACCTCTTAAAACATATCCATAGATTCTAGGTTAAAAACTAAAGATAGCCACCTACTTTTAAATATTTTTTCCATCGATGGTTCCAATGCTGCCTCTTTGAGTTCTTGGCCAGTTCTCCCACGCCGGATCCCAATTCTTGTTTTGGTGGCATATTCCTGACACACATGCAAACAAAGACACGTACCACCCACATGAAAACAGAACGTTAATAAAATAAAATGCAAGATCCCTTTACACTAGAAAACTCTAGTTAAAGAAACTTGGTACTTTCTATATACCTAACTTCACTATGGAAATTTATTAGCCAACTTAAAAAACTAAATGTAAAAATAAATAAATAAATGTAGACCTTCCCTGTGCTCCACCTTTGGAAGTTAGTAATTCATTATATTATTCTTAGTTTCAATTTCAGAAAAATTGTTTCTTTCACAAACTATAGATTTACATACCTAGAATTGTTATATTTTAAATCCTAACCAAATACCAGGGTGAGAATCTGTTAGCATTTTTAAGATATGCATTCTACAAGCATTATTAGCTATATTTTGTCATCTGGGATATGGACTCAAGAACAGCATCTTTCCTTAACATGAAGCCAAGAAGAGGGAAGACTACTACTTCCATTGTGGCTCTTTTTCAACAGTGGAACAGTTAATTTAAAAGAGAAAATGTCTCCTAGCTTCTTTATATTGTCCTCATTACCTCACACTTCAAACCTTATAATCTGAATGCCAGAAGATAAATCTATTATAAAAATGGGTTTCTTTCTAACCTGACAGATATTATCAACCTCTAAATAAGAGATAATATATTTAGTAATTTATTAATAAGCTATTGGCCAACTGGTAATATCCCTGGGTTCTTAAACTTCTGACTATGTGCTCCAGGATCTCCGTTACACTATGTAACTCTCAATCCCTCACAATGTACTCTAAATTTTCTAAATGAGAAACTCCAGAAGCTGTAAGCGAAGACAGAGTTACAGAAACTCATTTTCTATTTCATATGGGATAAGGAGGGACCAGAATGATACAAACTAATGGGGAGAAAGAGCTGATTGGGGATATTATCAGGGCTAACTGACGTATAACACACTAAAGGCAGAGCAGCCATACTCTGCCAAAAAGAAAGGGCACAAATGGAAAAAGAAGCAATATAAAAACATTCAGATTATCTTTACCCTGCTAGGTGTTAACAGCCATTGATTCTTCGTGATGGAATTCTTCACAACAGGGGAGGCCTTGGTGAAAGCTGGGTGGAAAACCCTAGAAGGTAGTGTCCGGAGACACACCAGCCTTGCAGCCAACATGGTGGTGGTGCACCAGGTCTACCGAGCAGATCTGAAATGCTAGTTTAAAAAAAAGGCAAAACCAACCAAAAAAACATAAGTAAAACAACCTACTAACCAATTAAGAGAAGGACATATGAGAGTCAGAGTCAAGGAACAAACTATTTTTTAGTAGAACAGGAAATAAAGCGACCTTTTTAATTTTCAGCGATGAATTCTTTGCCCAACCATCCACTGTAATGCAAGAAACCCATCCCAGAGAACACAGCTGAAGATGGAGGAACAAACTAGGTTTAAGTCCCAGTTTGACCAATCAAAATAGATGACTGCAAAAATTATGTGTAACACAGAACGGCTGTTAATAACTGGACGTGATTACAGAGTCTGTGATGGTTTTTACAAATGTAGTTTTGGCTTAAGATTTATACCAGCATCCAGTGGGAAAATTTAAAAGAATCTACATAACTTTTGGGCAAAGGAATAGTGTCATCCAAAGAAGACATGAATAGCTCTTCAAGGTTATACTGCATTACAAAGCTAAAAGGTATTAAAAGAAGCCAACTATATGAATTTCAGCTAATCATACCAAATATTACTTTCCTTCAACATGAGATATAAAAATATTCTAAGTTAACCTATTCTATATGTCCTACTATAATGCGTAAAGGACATTTAGTCTTTCAAAGTAAACAAGTAAACTCAGTTACCAACCAGGTTTCCCTTACATTAGACTCCCTCGATGGTGTCTTCAAAAGAAAAGCATGCTAAAAACTGGATTATCTTAGCTCCAGGGCACATTATACTAGATGGGTGGTCAACCAGAAGTCAGCAGACAGTGTTTCTGTAATGCTAAGGTGAGGTGACTACAATAGGTCAGAATGAAATGACGAGTGTAAACCAACTGGGGCTACCAGCCCATCTCTGCCAATGATTTGTAGTGAATTCTAGGCAAGTGATATACTTCTGGGCCCATTTCCCCATCTGTAACATAAGGATTCCGTGTTCAGACTACAGCGTTGACCCTTAGACTACCTGCTTGAAAGTGCCCCGGATGCATCTTAAAATGTAGGCTCCTGGGTCTTTCTTTGCTCCTAATGATTCTACCCCTAGGAATAAGACCAAGAACGTGTGTTTTAACGAACACTCCAAAAGCTAAGAACTATTGCTTTAAGATACCCGAGCGTCCTCCGAGCTCTGCAACTGAACTATTAAGGGTCTTAAAATTCGGCACCCGGCCTTTGGGAAAACACCCAGCGCTTTTGGAACTTTCGTGCCATTACATCATCTCAACCTATGGCTGTCCTGTATCTTCCTCAGTACTCAGTCCACTGGTTGGGGCCGAAGAGGTCCAGCTCAGAGTGACCTCCATGTGGCGTAACAGCCCAGAGTGGGAATCCCGCTTCTGACAGGTTAGAAGTGACCTTGTGAGGAGTGTGGATCTCTAAGACTCAGATGTCGTTGCTATAAAATGGGGAAAATACTACCGACCCTAATCCAAGGGCTTATGCCTCCGTGAGCATTGATGAGTTTGGGTGCCTGGTCCCCGAGAAAGTTCACCCAGCCCGCTAGATTCAGATGAGAACCCGGCAGCAAACTTCCCTGTCAACCCACAACACCTCTGCCCCTGCCCCAGGTGCCGCTACCAGCGCAGCGGCTGTACGGCCTCGCCGCAAGGATGACTCAGCACCTTGTTGCCCGAGGACAGAAGCACAGCTACACTGAGCCCTTGCCCGCCTGACCAGGGCCTTGTGCCGCCGCCCTCTCCACCAGGTCACCCACAGGACTGCGACCCCAACGCGCAGGCCGGCCCTGACGCAGCCAGCAGCACCGCTGCTTCCAGCCCTTCCCCCCGCACCCAGCGGTCCCGTGAGGGCGGCTGTCAGGACCACCGGGGATCCCGGGCGCCCGCCGGCCAGCCGGAGCAGTACCTCGGTCCCCGGTCACCTTCGCCTCGCAGTTTCCCTTCCGGGCCCCTAGCGTCGGCCTCAAAGAGCACAGTTCCTCCGGCGCACTGCATGACGCAACATCGAAAGGACGTAAATAGTACGAGCAGCCAATCACGGGCAGGCCTCTGTCGGAAAAGCGGCCACACTGGGGGAGGCGGGGTTCCGGGTTGAGGAGGCGGGGTTCCAAATTGGTGGGGCGGGGCCAGTTGAGGATTGTTGCAGGGAACGTCATAGTCAGCGTCCATTTTGCGTGTGGGCATGGGAGTCGTCTCGGCCATCTTTGTTTTGGGCAGTGGAGCTCTGTTTTGCTTTTGTTTTAGTCGTTTCACTCGCCGCAGCTATAAGAATTATGTAAAAATTGAAAGAAAGTAATGTTAGAGTTAAAAATTATTCCGTTTATTCCGTTCCTTTTTGAAGGCCTTTTTGTCCCTTAATTTATCGTGAGATAAATATCTTTTCAAATGTGTCTGCTTCTGAGCCGAGTCATCCGGTTTCTGGGGTCTCATGCCAAATGTTAGATGGTGACATCCAGAAAAGATTTTTTCTAGATGGTTTTTTCATTGCTTTGTGACTTTCCCGCCCACATTTTCAAGTTTCACCCTAAACCTGTGTAATAGGCCTGATAACAGCCGCCTCTGCCTTGCACCCAGGATTGCTCTGAGGACTAAGATGTTTCCATTGCGCGTAATTTGATAGGTGAAGAGCTAGTTGTGGAATACGCGAGAGAGTTACTTTCTTTTTCACTCTCCCTCTATTTCAACAGATATTTACTGAATGCTCAACTTCGTACCAAGCTCTGTTCTAGAAATATATACAAATGAATCAGCCGGGCGTGGTGGCTCAAGCCTGTAATCCCAGTACTTTGGGAGGCCGCGGCGGGTGGATCACTTGAGGTTAGGAGTTCGAGACCAGCCTGGCCAACGTGGGGAAACCCTGTCTCTACTAAAAATACAAAAATTTGCCAGGCGTGATTGGTGCCTGTAATCTAAGCTACTTGGGAAGCTAAGGCAGGAGAATCACTTGAACCCAGGAGGCGGAGGTTCCAGTGAGCCCAGATCCCGCAACTGCACTCCAGCCTGGGCGATAGAGGGAGACTCAGTCTCAAAAAAAAAAGAAACCAAAAAAACAAAAACAAAAAAACAGCAAATGAATTAAACCCGTGTGTGCTACCACTATTTTAACAAAATAAAGTCCTTGCTCTGTGGCTTTACTTTCTGGTAGAGACAGAACATAGAAAAAATATAATGTGATAACTTAATACCATGAAGAAAGAGCAGATTAAAACCCTGAAAGGGTGATAAGGTGATTAACAACATGCAAAATTCATGAACCTTTATCTCCTAAGCAGTAGTTAATTGTGATTTATGATTCCTAATCATGTAAACCTTGACAAATATAAAGACTTGCCTTCTATGTGGATAATAAAAGAGTCTGGCAGCAACACAATTCTTATCTCTTTACGCTGAAAATGGCAGGAAAACACTAGAGAAATCTCACGAAACTGAACAGATCAAGCATGATCAGTTTAATTTTTATTTTGATCTATGCCCAATTTTATTAGCTAGCAAATAGGTTTTCTGTTTGGCTCCTTCAGTGATAGTCTTTTTTTCTAGAGCTTCTGTTATCAGCAAAGAGAAAGGATTTACAACACAGTACCAGAATAAAGATCTTGAAGTCAATGACTCAAGCTTTCTTCAAGATTCCTATTAAAGCTTATTCTCTCCATATTGGAAGAAAAATGTCTGATTTCATATTTTCCTTTCTCAAGTAAAGGGCTTGTATTGTTGTTTCCACAGGGGTCAAATATTTTGAAGCAGGGGAGGAATCTGGTCATATCATTGGGAAATATATGCTCTTGTGGCAGTGTAGGAAGGGAGAGGTTCCATGGACCAGGAGACCAATTAGGAATTTATTGTAGTTGTTCAACCAAAAGGCAATAAAGGCTGGAATTAAGCCAGTAGAAAGACACAGAGGGGTTTATGACAGAGATATATTGCTGAAGTGGAGTTTGCAGGATTGAATGGTCGGTCAAATATAGCTGATAAGAATGAGGAAGGCTCCCTGAGTAATCCTTCTGAACTGGGTGGATAATTTTATCATTAATTTAGCAATAGGATACAGGGAGAGATACAAGTGAGGGGAAGTAGATACATAAAACTTAGTTTGAAGTGTTTAATTGTTAAGTTCTCTGCTTCTAAGTTCTTAGAGTGTAGGATAGAGAAAAGGACAAGCCGGGAATGGTGGCACATGCATGTAGTCCCAGTTACTGGGGAGGTAGCCCAGGAGCTTAAGGCCGGCCTGGGCAACATAGGGTGATGCTGTCTTTAAAAATAAATAAGTAGGCTGTGTGTGGTGGCTCACGCCTGTAATCCCAGCACTTTGGGAGGCCGAGGCGGGTAGATCACAAGGTCAGGAGATTGAGACCATCCTGGCTAACATGGTGAAACCCCGTCTCTACTAAAAATACCAAAAAAAAAAAAAAAAAAAAAAAAAATTAGCAGAGCATGGCGGTGGGCACCTGTAGTCCCAGCTGCTCGGGAGGCTGAGGCAGGAGAATGGCATGAACCCAGGAGGTGGAGCTTGCAGTGAGCCGAGATCGTGCCACTGCATTCCAGCCTGGGCAACAGAGCGAGACTCCACTTCAAAAAAATAAAAAATAAAAAATAAAAGAATAAATAAGTAAATAAAAAGGAAAAGACATGATTCGTAAATTCCAATACTATATATATGTCACGGTTTTTATTACAGTCTGCTGATGAATTCCTTATTCTCCACTTGCTGGCTAAGTGAGATATGCTGCATTATAGTGGAGAAAACTCAGAGCCAGGACAAAAGATAAAATATTTTATTTACTTTCAGTTAAAATAAATGCTCTCACCTTGCCCTACTATGCTTTCCCATCAGAAGATGTGGTATGAATGAAACAGAGTTGGAAAGGGAGTTTGCTGGGGCTTTAACCTCTGCCCTCCCTGATGGAGTCTCCCAACAAAGGGAAGGTGCTTCTTCCTGAAAGGTTGCAGATGTTTCTGAATGTAGGGACCAATTGGCACCTGCTTCTCATGTGGTTGCTAAGTGGCAGACAACAGAGCAGGTAGGAAAGTTACAAGATCTTCCCCATCTTGGCCTTGTTTTCCCTTGGAATCCCTAAGGTCTAGATAAACACAAGAATGTGATTGTGAGCACGCACCTGCTTGTTTGCACCCTTCGAGATGCTGCTCAGTAGTGAGGCGACACTAGAAGTATGTGTGGGTGAGATGCCCAGATGGGCACCAACAGACCATTTAGTGTATGACAAGGCAGAGCCATTTGACTCTGCTTGGGTGAGAGATCAAACTGTGCCAACTTCAAAAGTTATATCCTGCCAGCCACAGAAAGACAATGAAGCCATGGGGACTACTCCCTTTAGATTTTGCTGAACGGCAGCTGCATGACAATGCAATGACTAAGAGGTAGAGTGGAAGGACAGAGAAGCTACACTTTTTCCCCTCCTGTTTAATGTAAATGTTTCTAATCCAGTTGTGGCCCAGGAGAGGAGAAAGGACTTTGAACTCCAATGTGACTGATGGTAATAAATCCTGAAACTGACAGACAAATTGTCAGACTGTTCTGAGCTTGCAAAATGGAATAAATAGGCTGTCTGCTCTAAACTGACTGGGGCCTTGAAAATGACATCGATGGCAGTTTAAAGAAAAATGTAGCTCAATTTTGCATTCACCTAACTGACAATATATACCCCTCACATATGTGCAACTAAATGCTGTAAGTGGGCCAAAGGACAAGGTCATTAGTGGGGTAGTATCTGTGGAGGGACAGATATTGGCAGAAAATTGAGACTAGTGTCATGCTTTCTGGTCAGTCTTCCAAGAGGAAACCAACACTCAGAAATTGTAGTAGCTTTTCTTAAGAAAAAGGTATTAGGTTGTTCTTGCACTGCTATAAAGAAATACCCGAGGCTGGGTATTTTATAAGAAAAGAGGTTTAATTGGCCCATGATTCTGCAGGCTATACAGGAAGCATAGTGGCATCTGATTCTGGGGAGGCTTCAGGAAGCTTCCAATCATGGCAGAAGGCAAAGAGGGGCAGGTACATCACATGGCAAAAGGAAGAGCAAGAGAGAGAGAGTTGGCGGGGAAGGGCCAAACACTTTTAAATGACCAGATCTCCTGAGAACTCACTATCTCAAGGACAGCACCAAGGGGATAGTGCTAATCCATTCAAGAGAAATCCACTCCCATGATCCAGTCACTTCTGTCCAGGCCCCTCCTCCAATAACGGGAATTATAGTTCAACATGAGATTTGGGTGGGGACAAATATACAAACTATATCAAAAACATAGCAAGGTAAATGGTAGATCTGGGTCTAGAACATGCGATGGAGGCAAAAGCTGGTGCTTGAGGGATTAAAAAAAATCTCTCTTTTAATATATAATGCATGGATATGCAGACAGCACATGTGCTAGTAAAGCTATGACATTAAGATGTCATGGGGGAGGGAATCAGGCAAAAGCATCTGAAATGAATTCCTAGGGAAGCAATAATAAAAAAAGGCTGAGGAGCACTGGCCTAGAATACAGGATTTCTGTGATTCACTCTGATATCAGGCTCATCAGAAAAATTTTTGGTGTTACCCTCTATGACTCTATCAGTGAGTTGTTATTTGAGGTGATTTTGTGATCTTGAAGGAAATGAAAATATTTCACCCCCAAATATATTTTCTTGACATTGTTCAAGATGACTATTCAGAAAGGCTGGAAATAAAATAATAGCTAAAAAGCTGTCTTTTGTGGGAGAGATTAGCATTTGTAGAAAAAGTCTGCATTGATAAAGTCCTGCATTCTCCGAAGGTCTTCTCTTGTCTGATCTAGGAAAGACTGAGAGTCCGGCACCATAAAGGTCTGAAAGAAACATTTACCATCTTTCTCTCTGAAGGCTACTACCTATGAAGTTACATCTGCATAACAGGATCGCTGTTGCTAGCCAACCCTCCTCTTCTCTCTCTCCCATAACCTGTCTTGCCGCTGTAACCTGACTTACCACCGTAATCTCTTTTTGGCCATACCCTGAGCCCCCATTCTTTCTGTAACCTGGAGATGATGTATAAGCTTTTGTACCCCATTGTGGGGTTGGGGTTATCACTCTGTGATTTCCCCCATACGTGTTAACAGACTTGTGTGTCTTTTCTCTTTATTAATCTGCCTTTTGTCATCTTATTTTTCGGCAAAACTTCAGAGGGTGAAGGAAGAATCTTCCCTTGGGTCCTAAAACCTCTTGATAAATATTCCATAACTATATCCCTTGTGCTTCAGTATCACCTTTTCTTTTCCTTTTCCTTTCCTTTCCTTTTTCTTTCTTTTGAGATGGAGTTTTGTTCTTGTTGCCCAGGCTAGAGTGCAATGGCCTGATCTCGCCTCACCGCAACCTCCACCTCCTGGGTTCAAACAACTCTCCTGCCTCAGCTTTCTGAGTAGGGAGGGTTACAGGCATGTGTCACCACGCCCAGCTAATTTTTGTATTTTTAGTAGAGACGGGGTTTCTCCATGTTGGTCAGGCTGGTCTCGAACTCCTGAACTCCAGGTGATCTGCCCACCTTGGCCTCCCAAAGTGCTGGAATTACAGGCATGAGCCACCGTGCCTGGCCCCAGTATCATATTTCTAACTACATTAGGACATCTCTATCTAACATATCTGAGGACATCTCTATCTAGCATATTTGAAACCAAATTATAGCCTGGAATCTGAAATGGATTAGAAAGCACTTATTACTGGGAAATATCTCAAACTCCAAGGGTAGGAAGTACAGCTGGGTACCATAAAGACTTAAGTCAAGAACTGGAAAGTCAGGAAACACAATCCCTGTATCAGCTTTGATTTAATCAGAGAATTTGGACTATTAATATTATGAAATAAGGAATACATGAGAGAAATAAAACCTTATGTAATTGTGGCAGGATCTGAGGAAGTAAAGATCCAAAATGCATCAGAGAAAATTCACTGACAAGACTTGGTGCTATCAAGGTTGACAGGAAGGTGAGCTGGATGTGGAGCGAGAACAGGCAGGGATGACTTGGAAACCACTAGCACCTCTGAGTCTTTCCCTTATGGCCCTTGATCAATGATGATCAATGGTGAGCATCACCTACTCAGCCTTCCTTCTGCCTCCTAAGTCTTATCAAGTTTCTCTTGCAGCCAACCCTAACTCTGAACTATGTAGGGAGGGATTTTTTTCTTTATTGATCCTGTTTTGTATCTTTTTTTTTTTTTTACACGGAGTCTCACTCTGTCACCAGGCTGTAGTGCAATGGCATGATCTCGGCTCACTGCAACCTCTGCCTCCTGAGTTCAAGCGATTCTCCTGCCTCAGCCTCCTGAGTAGCTGGGACTACAGGTGTGCACCACCACGCCCAGCTCATTTTTGTATTTTTAGTAGAGATAGGGTGTCACCATGTTGGCCAGGATGGTCTCGAACTCCTGACCTTGTGATCCACCTGCCTTGGCCTCCCAAAGTGCTGGGATTACAGGCATGAGCCACAGCACCTGGCCCTGTTTTGTATCTTTTTTTGCGTAGAAACTATACCTGTGACTATAATGGCTTCCGAATCCTGTGAGTCCTTCTAGTGAATCTTCAAATCTGGAGTTCATCTTGAAAACCACCGATACAGTAAGACATCACATCAACCTGATTATTGAGAGAGTCCTCTAGTAGGCATACACATGGTACTTAAATATGTCCATATTCTGAGCCAGTTTTTATAAGTCCATTTATACCTCTCTCCCAGATCACCTAATGCCAATCTTGTTTTTTCAAATTCTTACCAGTTGGCCAATCTTGTAGCCACTGTCCAAGAGTCAGTGTAGACCTGTATTTTAGTCCCTATCTCCTTTAGTGCAAATTGAACTTTCAAATGGTCTTTTCTCCTAAGCTCTTTCTTCCCCACTGGGAAGACTTATTTTCATCACTGTCTTTCAAGGCTGTCCCTGAGTTAGGGCTGTAATATAGCAACATGCAGACCCAACTATAGGTTAGGCCCATGCTTATGCTCTTAGGTTAACTGGTAATAGAAAAAGGTCCATGAAATCATAGATTTGGGTTGAGAAAAAGGTGGCAAAGCAGGAACAAAAGATACCATGAGAGTCTCAGGCATTTACCCAAGCAGTTATTTGCGTCCTCAAAACCTGCTTGAGACTGTTCCTGTAAATACTGTTTCCGTTAACAAAGGAATAATGTTGAGAATGTCCAATCTTATTGATTTGGAGGATCAGGCAACACCCAGTTTATGATCCTGGGTCCTGAAGTCACTTGGTTTTCCTTGGCCATGTACTCATGACCTCTGCTGCCTTACCAAACAGGTGCCACCTTTTTGCCTTGGCAACTAGATGCCACAATTATCTCCCAATTAATTTCTCTGGACCTACACTTCATCCCTTGTCACTACCAGTAACAATTTGGGTAATTATGATGGCACCACATGTCTGCAAAAGAGGTGATCTGTCCTCTAATCAAATGTGTGAGCAATTTTAGAATCCTATTTTGAAGGTTTTTCTCCTGGGTACCACTTATTTTATTAGCATCTGGTAGGAAACAGATGGTACATCAAAAAGAGGCGATTGAAGAATGTCTAACACAATCACTATTGACAAATGTGTATGCTGGGATAACAGAAACAGAACGGATAGTAAAGCACCCTGGAATTAGCAGCAGTGGGAAGCCGTTACCATGTTGGTCCTAGAGGAACAATGGGTGGGAACAGTTAGTGGATCCTGGCAGGGATTGGAGGTATAGGAGAAGGATCACCAAACAGGTGCCATAGCCACCATTCAACCATGGCATGGCAGGATGGGAACCAAAGGGATAAATATCTCAACCTCTCACCCTCTAATTTCCTCCTGATGGCTGAACCCAACTCTAACACAGAAGGAGCTAGGACAATACAGTTCCCAGGGGTCAGCCTCCCAGGGACCAGGGTAGGGTAGAGGAGTAGATCTCAAGTTTCTCATCTGTTGTGGACTGAATTGTGTCCCCCAGACAACTCATATATTGAAACCTTAACCCCCAATGTGACTGAATTTGGAGATGGGGTCTCCAAGGATAGAATTAAGGTTAAAGGAGATCATAAGGTTGGGGGTTGATCCAATAGAACTGGTGTCCTTATCAGAAGATGAAGAGAAACCAGAGATCTCTCTCTGTCTCTGCCATGTGAAGACACAGTGAGAAGTTGGCCTTCTATAAGACAGGAAAAGACCTTTCACCAGGAACCAACCTGGCTGGCACCTTGATCTTGGACTTCTAGCTTCCCAAACTGTGAGAAAAATAAATGTATATTGTTTAAATCACCCAGTCTGTGGTATTTTGTTACAGCGGCCTGAGCAGACTAATGCATCATCTATAAGATGAAGACTGTAACATGTGTCTCATGAGATTCCTATGATGATTACATGAAATAACATGGATTAGATTTCTAAATACAGTACGTGCATGATAATTGCTAATATTTATTACTTTTATTATTGGTATTCAGAGTTAAACAACCAGAGTCTCATTTCATGATTTTTAGTTACCCCTCTCTCTGTTTTTTCTTTTTATAAATTCAATTATCTTTCTTGAGGTGAATAAAATAGATCTTTATACATTATAGATACTATGTGGTCTAGGATACCTTCTTATATTCTATTTGTAGTCTGCTTTTGTTAATGTCTCACTTTTTCCACCCTCTATCATATTGAATTAGTGTCTCATTTCAGTAGTTTATAATGTCTTCCTTACTGGTTTATAACAGATGGTTCTGAGCTCATTACTCTGTAAATATAGATTATATATTTATTTTCAGAGTGAATTATTTGGTATCAGTCCCTGTTGAAGTTCACCTGCCATGTTTGAAAATGTTCTTGTCAAATAGCAGCCCCAACACTATTTTCATTTTTAACTTCTATGTTTTACATCTTGCCTTGCTTATCTTTTTAGTACATAAATGCTTATGGGTGGAAAGCACTCATTTTATATTACCTTATATGTCGGTTTTAAGTGTCAAGCACACTGATAATTTAAAAAAAATGAAAATCTTTTTAGTTAAAAAATTTCATATATTTTAGCACTAGACTTCTTTAGATTTACTGGAATGGTGGGTGTGCTTGTAATAAAGCACTGTCATCTGGACATTTCAGTTCTGAGCCACATGATCAGAGATGCACAAGTGTGGGAACTGCATGGATCTTTTTTTTTTTTTTTTTTTTTTTTTTTTTTGAAACAGAGTCTGGCTCTGTAGCCCAAGCTGGAGTGCAGTGGTACGATGTTGGCTCACTGCAACCTCTGCCTCCTGGGTTCAAGTGATTCTCCTGCCTCAGCCTTCTGAGTAGGTGGGACTGCAGGTGCCTGCCACCATGACTGGCTAATTTTTATATTTTTGGTAGAGATGAGGTTTCACCATGTTGGCCAGGCTGGTCTTGAACTCCTGACCTCAGGTGATCCACCCACCTTGGGCTCCCAAAGTGCTGGGATTACAGGCGTGAGCCACCACGCCCAGCCTGCAAGTATCTTTAAAAGATGGATAGTAGTAGCTGCGTGCAGTGACTCATGCCCTTAACCCTAGATAGTCAGGAGGCTGAGGCAGGAGGATTGCTTGAGGCCAGGAGTTCAAGGCCAGTCTGGGCAACATAATGAGACCCCATCTCTACAAAAAATAAAAAGGATAATAATGATGAGTTTGTTAGCTATTAGGTTACACCATTTTAGCAATAGTACCGCAAGTAGGCCAAAAGAGTAGTTTAATCATAGTTATGGGTGATTGAGTTCCACTCTGGGCAGACATTACTAGTACATTGGTCACTTTGCATTTATTATATTGTGTACTCTTCTAAGATGGTCTCAGAGGCTTGCCCTTCCCCTGTTGTCCACCTCTACAAGAATTTAAATGGCTTTATTTATTTAACCAGGGACAGGGCTTTTTTAGGTGTGTGCATTGGTGGGCAAAAAGGGCCACCAAATTAAGGATTTTCAAGGGAGGAATTACAATGATGGACCACAGGTCTAGTCTGGGTCAGAATGGAGGGGAGAAGGATGAGAGAAAGTAAAAGCTGGTTTGGTGGGTGGATTGGACATTTTCAAATTTGTATAATTGCTTGAGCTGGTGATTTCAATGAAATGAGGTTGCAGTAAAAACAAAAATTAGATGTCTGAAATTCAGATTTTGGAAGAAGTGTAGTTGTTGGTAATGGCAAGATCTTGGGTATGACCAAGGGATAGGTGAGTGAGGTACAATAGAGGAAGAGATAATTATACAGAACAAATAGCTGAGAGGTCTAGGTGTTGGAAGGATCTTCAAGCAGAGAATGGTGACACTGCCAGGGTGGAAGGAAAAGCTGGGCGTGGTAAGCACAATATTGGTCCCCTAAAGATGTTGTAATCCTCAGGACTTGAGAATGTTACTTTACACAGCAAAAGGGACTTTGCATATGTGATTAAGTTAAAGATTTTCAGATGGGAAGTTTATCCTGGCTTTACCTGGAAGGAGGAGAGGGAATTTAATCACAAGGGTCTTAATAAGAGTGAGGCAATAGGGTTAGAGTCAGAGAAGGAGATGTGACCCTGGAGGCAGAGGTTGGAGTGATGTGGGGTCTTGGGTCAAGGAATATGGGCAGCCTCTAGGAGCTAGAAAGGCACAGAAATGATTCTTCTCCTCCAGAACATGGCCTGGCTGAAACCATTTTAGACTCCAGAACTGTAAGATAATACCTTTATATTGTTTTAAGTCAATAAGTGTGTCATAATTTGTCACAGCAGCAATACAGCAGGTATTACTATAGAATCATCAATAAGGAGAGGGATGGTAGTAGGGATGGCATGGGTGGTAGATGACATAACTAAGGAGGGAATGACTGACCCCTGCACTGAAATGTTACTGGGGTTGTAGAAAGAGGAAGGAATTTTACAGTTGAGTCCCAGGGGTCATGGTGGAAGACTTGGGAAGGGTGGAAAATTAATCAGATTAAGGTAGCCATAGAACTATGGTAATAGAGAACCTGGGGAGTTTGGGTTTCGGGTTGTATCTGGATAAACAAGGGAGAGAGGTAAGAGCCCAGAGGGTCTTTTAGCTCCAAGTACTGTAGTTTCATTTACAGTATTCCTTGTTTATCTGTGGATTCACTTTCTAAGGTTACAGTTACCTGAGGTCAACCACAGTCTAAAAATATTACATGGAAAATTATAGAAATCAACACTTTATACTTTTATTTTTCTTTTTAAAAGATGGGGTGTTGCTACATTGCTCAGGCTGGAGTGCAGGGGGATTCACAGGTGTGATCGTAGCACACTACAGCCTCAAACTGTTGGCCTCAAGTCATCTTCCCACCTCAGCCTCTCAAGTAGCTGGGACTACAGGTGCATGGCACTGCACTTGGCAACAATTCATAAGTTTCAAATTGGGTGCATTTTGGGTAGCATGATGACATCTCAAGCTTTCCTACTCTGTCTTGCCTGAGACATGAATCTTCCAGCGTATTCATGCTGTAAATGCCCCCTGCCCATTAGTCACTTAGTAACTGTCTAGGTTATCAAATTGACTGTCACAGTATCTCAGTGTTTGTGTTCAAGTAACCCTTATTTTACTTTATAATGGCCCCAAAGCACAAGAGTAGTTAAGCTGGCATATTGTTATAATTGACCTCTTTTATTAATGGTTATTGTTGTTAATCTCTTACTGTCTCTATGAAAAGTTTATCATAGATATGTATGTATAGGTAAAAACATTCTGTATACAGGGTTTGGTGCTATCCACAGTTTCAGGCATCCATTGGGAGTCTTGGAACATGCCTCCCTGAGGATTGGGGGCGTCTAGTAGATTTACTCAACACATATTTATTAAATACCTACTCTGAGGAGGCTCTGATGTGGATATGAGTGGTTTAGTGGCCAAAGGATAAGCAAGTGCATCCTCTTGGGAATCCCAGGAATTAGAGGTGCTCCAAGCTTCTTTCTGTTCTGGAGGCAAAGCAGTGTGATAGGCTGTGTGGGTAGAGGGCGAATGAGAAGGAATGGATGTTGATGGGAATTATGTCTTGCTTGGAAAAGGTAGCTTGGGATTTCCACTTTTCTCTGGTAGTTTGATGGGCAAGAGAAAAGACAAGCAACCTAAAACCGAAGAAGAATCAGACTGATGTCAGATTTCTTATCCACAGCATAGGATGCTAAAAGTCAGTGGAGCAATGCCTTCAAAACTTTCAAGGAATAGAATTGAGAACCTAGAATTGTATAACAAGCAAGAATACAAGCAGGCATGCCAGTCTTTGGCCTCTGTGGCATAATATGAAATATACTTATTTGGTCTTTGTCCGACATTCCTGTCATAGAGCTCCTAAAACACTTGGAATTTCCTGAATGATAGGAGTATCTTTTGTTACTCTTAATGAGCCCCTGTGATGACTCTTCAGTTTATGCTAATGAGATTAGTTGGGATAGGGCCAGTCACTGGAAAGACCAAGTGATAAGAGGACTAGAGAGTTAGAGCTTTCAGCTCTACCTACCACTCTCTGGAAAGGGCAGAGATGCAGGTAGGAGTCGGGGAGGGTGGAGATCAAGCTCTATAAAAACTCTTGAGCAAGACTTGATGGGCTTCCTTGTTGTGGAACACATGGAGGTTGCTGAACACTTGCAGGTGCTAGTGAGGGAGGATGCACACCCAGAGAGGATGTGAGAGCTTTGCCCCACCACACCTCACACTATGTATCTCTTCATCTGGCTGTTCATCTGCATTCCTTATAATATCCTTTATAACAGACCAGTAAATGTAACTTATGTTGGATATGAGTTCTAAATTTCTTTTCAAAGAATCAGTATGCCAGTATGTTCAATTCTTTGCCTTCTACTTTTAAACTTAACTTCCTCATAAAGCAACCTTTTTTGATTACCTGCTCCACTCTGACTCCTTTCAATCAGCTGCTACACCCTGACTCATTCCAATTACCTACTCCACCCTGACTCATTCCCATTACCTGCTCCACCTTGACTCATTCCAATTACCTACTCTACCCCGACTCATTCTGATTACCTGCTCTGTCATAACCATATTTTCCACCAAACCACTCACCCTGTCACTCTCTTCTGCCAGTCAGAATTGTTTCTGACTTCTTCTGCCACTCACCCTGTCACCAATTCTGCCAGTCAGAATTGGTTTAGCCTGTGTGGTCTAACCCTAGCCAGTAGGGGAACGACACAGCAGCAGGGGCCACGTGCATCAGGGATAAGCACCCCTTCCCCTCCCTTGTCCAAGTGTTCCCTCACCATTGCTCCATCTGTAAGGATGCACCCTTCTATAGAAGTACCTTGCCTTGCTGAGAATTAAAAGAAAATTTTATATTCGAGTGCTATTTCTTTTGTGGCACTGAAACTTTATATATAACAATTTGGGGGCTCGCCCATGATTACATTCCCCTCTGGGGACACTCTCTGGTTCTCTCTCGTGAGGAGGTGTGCCCTGCCCCCTTGTGGCGGCCTCAGGGGTGAGAAATCAAGGCCCACCCAGTGTGAGGAATAACCCAAGCTCTCAGCAATGCGGAAAAAAAAAACTGGCCAGCGACCTAGCTTAAAGGATCCTCACATACTGTGGCGACAACTCTGTGCACAGACCAAGGAAGGAGAAGCCATGGGAGCTGGTAAAGTATTTCCTTGGTGGGCTGGGTGCGGTGGCTCACGCCTGTAATCCCAGCACTTTGGGAGGCCGAGGCGGGTGGATAATGAGGTCAGGAGATCGAGACCATCCTGGCTAACATGGTGAAACCCCGTCTCTACTAAAAATACAAAAAATTAGCTGGGCGTGGTGGTGGGCACCTGTAGTCCCAGCTACTCGGGAGGCTGAGGCAGGAGAATGGCGTGAACTCTGGAGGCAGAGCTTGCAGTGAGCCAAGATCGCACCACTGCACTCCAGTCTGGGCGACAGAGCAAGACTCTGTCTCACAAAAAAAAAAAGTATTTCCTTGGTGGTCTGGACCAAGGTAAGAAAGCCATGGGGTGGGGAGGGGGCGAGGAGGTGTGGAGGGGGGGTGAAGTACTCCTTGGTTGGAGTGGTTTAGAGGTTAAAAAGATGCGAGACATCCCCACTGGGGGGAATTGAACCTCACACGAACCTCTAGTAGTAGAAAGGCCAAGAAATTACCAGTGGGGAAATTGAGCCTCACCCCAAAAGGCAAGAAATTTCCAGTGGGGGAAGTTGAGCCTTACCCCAAAAGGCAAGAAATTTCCAGTGGGGGAAGTTGAGCCTCACCCCAAAAGGCAAGAGATTTCCAGTGGGGGAAATTGAGCCTCACCCCAAAAGGTAAGAAATTTCCAGTAAGGGAAATTGAACCTTGAACCTTACCCCAAAACCATCAAGATGGGAAACACCCCAAGCAAGACAGGTAACAAAGGGGATAAAGATGGTAACAAAGATATCACCCCAGGTACCCCCCTAGGTCTCATGCTAAAACACTGGAAGGATAAAGAAAGGACTAAACATAGGAAAAAGCAACAAATGATAAAATATTGCTGTTTTATTTGGACTCAGGGACCCATCCTTAAACCCTCAATCTTTCAGCCAAAGTTTAGGTCGAATGAGGATGTAATGTCTCAGCTTCTAATCTGATATATTAATGATAAAAGTCCAGTGTCTCAAGAAGAACTAGGCTATGCTCTTTGTTGGAGGCAAGGACCTGCCCTCCTTTTTCCCTTAAAAACAAATTGGGAAGAACCCAATCTGGCATCTCAAAATGAAAAGTCAGAGGAGCCAGCTTTCATGCCTAAAGACTCCAGCACATGGGATCCCCTAGGCTACCTTCCCCCACTCAGTGTCCCCAATCTTTCCCCTCAGACAGCCACTGCCACCACAGATCCCATTCCAAATTCTCCCTCTACTCACGTTATCCCTCCTCCTTATAACCCCGACTCTTGGGAATTACCGTTCCACCAGCCTGTTCCCCTCCCAACCTAAAGACTCCTCTCTAAAAGGACTCCAGCGTCAGGTAGAACAATGTAAAAAAGATATTCAGAATTTCCCATTCCCCTCCGTACCTAAGAGGTCAGCCCCGACCCTCTTCCCTTTGAAAGAGGTACTACAAGAAGCGGGGGCCATTGGCTTTGTAAATGCTCCCTTAACCAGTTCAGAAGTCTGGAATTTTAAAAAAGGAGCTTAAACTGCTACTAGATAACCCTTACAGAGTGGCATACCAAACTGACCAATTCTTAGGCCCTCAGTTATACACTTGGGTCAAGTTAATGTCCATCTTAGGCATCCTCTTTTCAGGGAGAAGAAAGGAGTATGATTCATAGGGCCGCTATGGTAGTTTGGGAATGTGAGCACCCTCCCGGTATAAATGTCCCTACCATGGACCAGAAATTCACCTCCCAAGACCCCTGGTGGGACAATGACAATGCAGATCACTGGGAAAATATGCAGGACCTAAGGGAGATAATAATAAAAGGAATTCGGGAATCAGTACCCTGAACCTGAAATCTTTCTAAAGCATTTGATATACAACAGGAAAAGGATGAAGGGCCTATGAGATTCCTAGACAGACTGAGGGAGCAAATGAGGCAATATGCAGGCCTCAATTTGGATGATCCCCTTGGGCAAGGAATATTGAAACTCCAATTTGTCACTAAAAGTTGGCCAGACGTTTCAAAAAAGTTAAAAAAGATAGATAATTGGGAAGACCATCCCCTAAGTGAGCTTCTTAGGGAAGCTCAGAAAGTATACGTGAAAAGGGATGAAGGAAAACAGAAACAAAAGACAAAGCTTGTCTTCCACCTTCCAACAGATGGCTCCAAACCCAGGTACTTCTAGGCAGAGTTTCCAGGGAGCCAGAAACTATAAAGATTCCGAACCAACTTTTAAAGGACTCCAGCCTCCATTAGGAGGACCAAGGTCCTTGTCTACCAGGCCCCCTAAAAAGTATGGGGAAGCAGGGTTAAAGAATCCCAGAACTAAGAGAGAGGAAAGGGAGAGAGAGAGAGGGAAAAGAGAGAGAGGAAAAAGAAAGAGAAAAAGGCAGAAAGAGAGAGGAAGAGACAGAGAGACAAAGAGGGAGTCAAATAGAGAGAGAGAGAAAGACACAGAAAGTCAAAGAGAGAAAGGAAGAGAGAAAGAGAAGTGGTAAAGAGAAAACAATGTACCCTATTCCTTTAAAAGCCTGGGTAAATTTAAAACCTATAATTGATAATTGAAGGTCTTCTCCATGACACTGTAACACTCCAATACCACCTTGTTGTCAGTGTAAACAAGGGCATAGCCCGAAAGCACTGAGGCCACTGACAACCCATAGCCTTCCTATCAAAAATCCTTAACCCAGCAACCCACGGATGGCCCAAATGCATTCAATCTGTAGTGGCATCTGCTTTCCTAGCAGAAGAAAGTAGAAAAATAACTTTTAGAGGAAACTTCATTGTGAGCACACCTCACCAGTTCAGAACTATCCTAAGTCAAAAAAAAAAAAAAAAAAAAAAAGGCAAAAAGGTAGCTTACTAACCCCAAAATCTTAAAGTATGGGGCTATTCTGTTAGAAAAAGATGATTTAACATTAACCACTGATAATTCCCTTAACTCAGCAGGTTTCCTAACTGGGGATCTAAATCTTTTTTTTTTTTTTTGAGACAGAGTCTCACTCTGTCGCCCAGGTTGGAGTGCAGTGGCATCATCTTGGCTCGCTGCAAGCTCCACCTCCTGGGCTCATGCCATTCTTCTGCCTCAGCCTCCCAAGTAGCTGGGACTACAGGCACCCACCACCATGCCCAGCTAATTTTTTATATTTTTAGTAGAGATGGGGTTTCACCGTGTTAGCCAGGATGGTCTTGATCTCCTGACCTCGTGATCCACCCGCCTCGCCTCCCAAAGTGCTGGGATTACAGGCATGAGCCACTGCACCAGGCCCAGGGGATCTAAATCTTAATTAATTACCATACAAAGGTCTGACCAGACCTAGGAGAAACTCCCTTCAGGACAGGACAATAGATGGTTCCTTCCGGGCGATTGAGGGAAAAAGACACAATGGGTATTCAGTGAGTGATAAGGAAATTCTTGTAGAAGCAGAGTTAGGAAAATTGCCTAATAATTGCGCTGCTCAAACGTGCAAGCTGTTTGCACTCATCCAAACCTTAAAGTACTTACAGAATCAGGAAGGAGCCATCTATATCAATACTAAGTTAATATGGACTGAACAAGGTCTTATTAATAGCAAACAATAATTGAAATCCCAAACTTACAAGGTTTTCAACAAAAGTAAAGTTTGCTAAAAGTTAACAGTGTAATATATATTATCCTAACTTCTAATCTTTTGGCCTTAGACAGTATAGTCCACAGAAATGAAGAAAGTTCGCTTTGGAAAAGAATGCTTATCATCTTTGAGAAAAAACAAAAGGTGGGGGGGAGGGGGAGAATGTATGTAAAAAGGAATGTTATATGGTAAATTCTTGTCCTAAAAATAAATTAACTGGTTGTTTAAAAAAAGGGATGTTTGCAACAAGTCAGAAAGTTGGTGCATGTCAAAGAATTGTCTGTAAAAGTCGTGAAAAAATATTATAAAAGGGAATTTATGCAAGAAATGTTGTATAATTTAAAAGTATTTAGGCCTCCTGAATGTAAAACTATTGAAGAAACAGTTTATGTGCAAGGTGTATAAGGAAAGTAAAATATACCTTTGGTAAAAGGATTATAAGGAGGCATAAGAATGTGGATTTTTACCTATGTCAAAAGGTTAAAAAATTTTTGTTTTAAAGGTTTAAGCAAGTTTTGAAAGGTTAATTGTAAAGGAAGTTCTGTGTGTAAACATATTGGCTAAAGTTAAAGAGATATCATCCAGTTTTTCTGTGAACTGGACATTAAAATAAAAGCACAACAGGTTTTTCTTAAAGCACTAACCTGCTCCTTAACACAAATATAAAAGGTTAAAAAGAGTCTATAAAAACTTACCTTATGGTCAGACATTAAAATTAGATAAATATGTCTACAATGTTTTATTACAATTGAGTTTAACATTAATAACACACTAATATAAAGTTGAAATTTAGCTTATCTGGTATAAAAATCATACGGGAACCACTGTCGAATATAAAATGGTGTTTGACTTTTTTTAGTCTAAAAACTAATAAAAATAGGTGCTAAAGGAAATTTCTCAGTAAGAAGGTACCAAGGACTACAAAGTCCACTGCTGATGTCCCCACATTTAAAACAAAAGGTCAGTTTCTTAGAAATTATATACTTGGTTTATCTTCCACTTTCCTTTCCCTCAAAACTAAAAGTCTTTTAGCACAGGTACCACCCCTAGAACTTCCAGTAAACTAACACCAGCTTGAAGATCACGTTCTCATCAAAGGGTGGAAGGAAGGAAAACTTGAGCTAGCCTGGGAAGGACCCTACCTTGTGCTGCTAACTACCGAGACTGCTGTTCATACAGTGAAAAGGGGATGGACTCATCACACCTGAGTCAAGAAAGTGCCACTGCCTCCAGAGTTGTAGGCCATAGTCCCAGGGGAAAACCCTACCAAATTAAAGCTAAGAAAAATTTAACACTTTCATCTATTCTATTACTCTTTCTTCTTTCCTTGCTCTATTGCTGACCATCTAGTTATTAACATAACCAAGTCAATTTCACCTCAAACTATTGCATTTAATGCTTGCCTTGTTATACGCTGTGGGGACTTGCCAGGTCAAAGACAGCTCTCTACTTCAGAAAAGTACCTCTGTCTCTCCTGACTTTCCTCAGACTGGGCATTAGTGAATTAGGATCATTTAATCTGAGGAGATTTCAATAAAGACCCCAGTGTCAACCAGGAGTCTTGTTCCCTGATGTAGTGCTTTTATGCCATAGTTGGTCCAACATTCTGTGGACCACTAAAGACCAAGAATGGACTGTCCCAACCGGTTTTTGTAATTTCCTAAAACCATACATTCATTTTACTAGAGGGACAGCCCTTCCCCTTAACTGTCAGCTAAACCAGTGTAATTCTATACAGGTTATTATCTCAAACCCCCAAAGTTCTTCCCCTTTTCTAAGCCGGTTCCCTTCTTTAAGCCGGTTTTATGGTATGGGGGCTGAGGTTTCAGAGACAAACCCTATTAGATTCGTTTCTTTGATCCCCCACCAACTGCATCTTCCTCTAAGCCTTCTTCCAAAACCTCTCACAATGGAACAATTGCTCTTCTTCCATCTAACAACAAGACCAAGATAGCTATCATAAAAGTTAAAGACTGAAAACAAACTTTGGCAATTAAGACAGGATACCAAGATGCAAATGCCTGGTTGGAATGGATCAAATATTCCTTCCCCCATGTTAAACAAAAGCAATTGTTATGCTTGTGCGCATGGCAGGCCAGAGGCCCAGATTGTCTCCTTTCCACCAGGGTGGTCCTCCAGTCAACTGGGTGTGGGCTGCATGATAGCTCTTTTCCAGGATTCTACAGCCTGGAGTAATAAGTCATGCCAAGCTCTCTCTCTGCTATATCCTGAAGTCTGGCACCCCGCGGGTCAGCCCCTGAGGGCCATCCAGCTTCCATCTCCCAACACTAAGTTCAATTCATGTCTCTCATGACAGGGAGGAAACTTAGCATTTTTTGGAGACCTTAAGGGATGCAGTAAGCTTAAGAATTTTCAAGAGCTTATCAATAAGTCAGCGTTTGTTCGTCCCCGAGCAGATGTGTGGTGGTATTGTGGAGGACCTTTACTGAACACTCTGCCAAACAACTGGAGTGGCTTTATTTGTGCTTTAGTCCAATTGGCTATCCCTTTCACTCTGGCATTTCATCAACCAGAGGAAGGAAAAATAAGACATCGTAAAGCTAGAGAAGCCCCTTATGGGTCTTTCAACTCTCACGTCTATTTAGACACAGTTGGAATCCCAAGGGGAATACCAGATGAATTTAAAGACTGAAATCAAATAGCTACAGGATTTAAGTCAATATTTTGGTAGGTGACAATTAATAAAAATGTAGATTGGATAAACTATATCTACTACAACCAACAGTGATTTATTAACTACACTAAAGTTGCTCTTAAAGGAATAGCTGAACAATTAAGGGCTGCTAGCCAGATGGCTTGGGAAAATAGGATAGCCTTAGACATGATATTAGTAGACAGAGGAGGAGTTTGCATCATGATTAAAACTCAATGTTGCATCTTCATCCCAAACAATACCGTCCCTAATGGAGGTATAACAAAGGCATTGCTAGATCTGACTGCTGTATCCAATGAGTTAGCCAACAACTCAGGGGTAAATGACCCCTTTACAGGATGGCTAAAAAAGTGGTTCAGTAAATGGAAAGGAGTAATAGCCTCAATTCTTACTTCCCTCATAGCCGTAATGGGTGTACTTATTCTTGTCGGGTACTGTGTCATACCATGCATCCATGGGTCAATGCAGAGGCTTATAAAAACGGCACTTACTAAAACCTCCCTTAACTATCCGTCACCTTATCCAGAGAAGCTTCTTCTTTTGAAAAACCAAGCAAAACAACTAAGCCAAGATATGTTAAAAAAATTTGAAAAGAAAGCTGTAAGGAAATACAAGGGGAGGGGTTGTTAGATATGAGTTCTAAATTTTTTTTCAAAGAATCAATATGTCAGTATTTTCAATTCTTTACCTTCTACTTTTAAACTTAACTTCCTCAAAAAGCAACGTTTTTCGATTACCTGCTCCACCCTGACTCCTTTCAATCTCCTGTTCCACCCTGACTCACTCCAATTACCTACTCCACCCTGACTCATTCCCATTACCTGCTCTGTCATAACCATTTTTCACGCCAAACCACTCCCCCCGTCACGCTCTTTAAATTAGCCAATTGGAATTAGTTTAGCCTGGGCAGACGAACCCTAGCCAATAGGGGAACGACACAGCAGCAGGAACCATGTGCGTCAGGGATAAGAACTCCTTCCCCTCCCTTGTCCAAGTGTGCATTCACCATTACTCCATCTGTAAGGGTGCACCCTTCTATAGAAGTACCTTGCCTTGCTGAGAATTAAAAGAATTTTATATTCGAGTGCTATTTTCTTTTGCGGCACCAAAACTTTATATATAACAGTTAAGTGTTTCCCTGAGTTCTGTGAGTCACCTAGCAAGTTATCAAACCCACGGAAGGAGGGTTGTGGGAAGCCCAATTTATAGCTCGTCAGTCAGAAGTATCTGTCTCCAGGGAGACAGTATCATAATTGAATTGAATTATAGGACACTCAGTTGGTATTGAAGGAAAGCAAAATATTTCCTCCCCAAATATTGAGAATTGTTAAGTTAAAGGAAAACACTGCATCAGCATCTATCTGCCTGATGGCAGGACACAGATCTTTCCTTACTGGGGACAGCACTTGCTTATCAGCCCAGAGAAGGCACCAGAAGGTACTAGAGGAATCAGGAACACATTTTACTATCTTCTCACATTTTCTTTTCTTTAAAAGACTGGAACTGCTCTCCTTTTTGTCTTGTCACTATGCAGGATTTATGGTTCTTTAACAGCAGAGGTTAATAAACCTCTGCTTGTTTTTCTTTTGTTAATCTGACTTTTGTTTTCAGGAGAGTGTCTCAACTAAGAACCTAAAAAGGGAAAGAAAAAAAAAATTATGTTTTCTCCCCTACAATTTGGCAATCCAGCCAGGAGAAACAGAGAAACTCTGTGGCAGGCCTGGTTTCCATTAGCAACCAGAGCGGCCAGTTACCACTAACCATTTACTATAATTCTGATGACTGCATAAGTTAAACATTAAAGAACTGGAGAAACTGATGCCTGAGTATGAGGGCTGTAATGAAAAAACAAGCACATTAAGACCCCATCTGGGTTTTCTCAGACCCTGAAGTCTGATTGAACGATAAAAGCATTCTGACACATACACCTTGTACCATAGCCCACTTAAGACTAAGAAACTTTCCAAAGCTCTAGAGTGTTATATATAAAGTTTCAGTGCTGCAAAAGAAATAGCACCTGAATGTAAAATTTTCTTTTTAATTCTCAGCAAGGCAAGATAATTCTATAGAAGTGTGCATCCTTACAGATGGAACAATGGTGAATGCACACTTGGACAAGGGAGGGGAAGGGGTTCTCATCCTTGATGCGCTTGGCCCCTGCTGCTGTGCTGTTCCCCTATTGGATAGGGTTAGACCACACAGGCTAAACTAATTTTGATTGGCTAACTTAAATAGTGTGACAGGGTGAGTGGTTTGGCAGGAAAAATGGTTATGACAGAGCAGGTAATCAGAATGAGTCAGGGTGGAGCAGGTGATTGAAAGGAGTCAGGGTGGAGCAGGTAATCGAAAAAGGTTACTTTATGAGGAAGTTAAGTTTAAAAGTAGAAGGTAAAGAATTGAACATACTGACATATTGATTCTTTGAAAATAAATTTAGAACTCATATCTAACAACAGAAAACTTTCCAGACCACAGACCCTGTAGCAGGACAAGCCGCAGACAAAACCCCTCAGACACGGAGTTAAAGAAGGGAGGGGTTTATTTGGCTGGGAGCATTGGCAAGACTCCTGTCTCAAGAGCCGAGCTCCCTGAGTGAGCAATTCCTGTCCCTTTTAAGGGCTCACAGCTCTAAGGGTGTCTGCTTGAGAGGGTTGTGATCGATTGAGCAATCAGGGGGTACATGACTGGGGGCTGCATGCACCAGTAATTAGACTGGATCAAAACAGAACAGGGATTTTCACAGTGCTTTTCTATACAATGTCTGTAATCTATAGATAACATAACTGATTAGGTCAGGGGTTGATCTTTAACTACCAGGCCCAGGGTGTGGTGCTGGGATGTCTGCTTGTGGATTTCATTTCTGCCTTTTAGTTTTTACTTCTTCTTTCTCTGGAGGCAGAAATTGGGCATAAGACAATATGAGGGGTAGTCTTCTCCCTTATTCCTCCCCCCCTTTGAGAATCTCACTCAATAGTGGGAGTTCTCACTTTCATTCTCACTACCCATGTCTTCTTGCAAGATAGATTGATAGTGATTCATATAGTACACTTGTGCTGAAGCATTTTGGTCAACTAAGGTAGCAATGAAGCTTTTTATCATTTGAAGAGGTACAGGTAGCAAACAAGGGAGCAGTAAGCAGGTTCCTATTACTATTATAACTCTTATTATAAGAGTTTTACATCCTCCTAGCTCTGGGAACCATTTTCCAAACATGGCCCCAGGATCAAATCCATGCCACACTTGCACGCGCACATGTGTCAGTTTTGTCATATCTCTAACTAGGTCTTCAACTACTTGCCCTTGATCATCTATGGGTAGACAGCAATTAGTAAGGTTAAATTTCCCACAGACTCTTCCTTCTGCTGCTAGCAAGTAGTCGAGAGCCAATCTATTTTGATAGATAGCACTTCTCATCTGAGTTTCTTGCTGGGCCAGAATAGTCAAGGCTCTGCCAGTTTTATTAGTGATTATTTCTAAGACAGCTTGTAACCGTATGATTTGGTTGATCATGTAAATGGGGGTCTGGTATCCCCATGAGCCATCTTGTGCCCAAGTAGCAGGCTCATAATATTGTATGATTCTCTCAAGGGGCCATTCATCATCTTTCCAATTTCCTATAGCTATGCTTCTCTTTTCGCGGGAAGCATAGACAGGGAAACCCAGGAGTTCGCCTGTTTTTATGGGCAGTAGGAAGAAAGATGTTTTAATAGTGCCAATAACACAACTACCTGCCTACTGGTCAGGTAATTTGGTGTAAGCTCTATGCCCACATATCCAGTATAATCCAGTGAGGGCTGTCCAGTCCTGGTGGTACTCCAGGTGGGTCCACATGGTTTGCAACCTTGGGAATTTACTAGATGGATTCCTCTCTGTTTGATTTGAACCCCACCAAGTGACTGTTTCTGTGGTACCATTATACAGTTTCTGTCCTAGACAACTAAGTCATCCTACGGGGTGAGTGAATTCTTTTCCTTCTCTAGCTATGCAATATTTTCCAATAATTGAGGACTTTAGGACCCAGAAATTATCAGGGTGATTCTTCTGAGCCAGGAATTCATCAGGAACTGGGTCTGCAGGTACTAATTCTCGGACTTCCCATAGCCATTGATCTCCTATTACAGTTCCTCCACATACATAACATGAAGTGATATTGAGAGACTGGGCTACATGCTCAGGTAATTGCAAAAACAAGTTTCTTGTTTTTCCTGGAATTTCTGGTACTGGCACATTTAGTTCATCATGGAAAGTTTGAAACACTGGCTCAGGAGAGTGTTTGTAAACTTCTCCTCAAACCAAGATATTTACTTGAGGATCCAGTCCGGCCCCGTCGATTCCTTAGGTCACATGCTCCCCTTTTTTCCAGTGAGGATCAAGGGATTGGTTATTACAAGCTCTAAGGGGTTACATTGTCCCTTAGTACAGGAAGGGCTATTTTTTCCTTTCTGAAGGTGGACTGGATCCTTTTCATTTTTTATCCAAGTGGCCTAAGTGACACAAGACCAGTATCCACATTCATTTCCACACAGTCCTAATTCATGACAAATGTACTTATTTTCGGTCATATAGCCTTTTCCCAACTAAAAGAGCCACATCCTCTGCCTAACTTATTGCTATTAGTGACAGCACAGGCATCAAATTTCAAGATTATGCATTTGGGCACCCTTTTTCTTCTCTTCTGGCTAATACTTTACTTGTATCATTTATGAGTCCCCACCAGTCTTCAGTCCTTAATCTTATTTCAAAAACTGGACATGGGAGGCTCAGAGGGGTCATAAAACACATCTGGTCAGTCGTTTCCTGGGCTACATACCTTGCACTGAGTGTCATTATATAAACATGTTCCTTTTAAAGTTCCTAGGCATTCATAGTAACTATAGAACAGAAAGATTGTTTTAACTTGTTGCCCTACCTTGGTAACCTGATGTATACACTGAGAGCAGTCCTCCATGTGGGGAAAATCAGTGGAAGTTTTTACTATACAAGTCCAAATTATAAGGAAAATGAGTCCTATGATGATTCTCCTCATGTTTCGGCTGTGCGTAGACCAGTCAGCTTCCGGGTGTGACTGGAAGAGGGCTTGTTGTCCTCCTCAGAGTCACTTTGCAGGAGTTGTCCGGGCTTGGTTTTGCCTCCCAGGTTTCATCAGCTGCAGGTTTCACATGGCTGTGGAGGATCCAGGCTGGGATTCCTTCTACCTTTACAGCCGTGGGGGTGGTCAGGATGATGGTCTGAGGTCCTTTCCACTGTGACCACAAAGGGGCTACGTTCCAGTCCTTGATCCACACGCGATCACCTGGAGAGAAAGGGTGAACTGGGGGGAATAAGCTGATGGGACATCTCTCATTTACCCGTTGAGATTGTTTGTGTAATTTTTCCTAAAGCCTGTAGCTGTCGCTGTAATTCAATTTCACCTAACTCTCCGGGAGTGCCTGGAAGCTCCCGTAGTATAGGAGGAGGCCTATGATACAGTATTTCATAAGGGGACCAACCTGTTTTCTTAGAAGGAGTGCACCTAATTTTAAACAATACCGTAGGAATGGCTGGTATCCACTTTAATCCTGTTTCCTGACATACTTTCCTTAAACTATTTTTGATAGTCCAATTCATTCGCTCCACCTTTCTGGAATTCTGAGGTCGGTAGGGGGCTTGTAGCTTCCAAGTGATTCCTAATGCCTTTGCTGTCTTCTGTACCAAGTCAGCCACAATCGCCAGCCCAGTATCTGAGCCGATTCATAAGGGCAGTCCAAACCTAGGAATAAGATCTTGGAGAAGCACACGGGTTACCTCATAGGCCTTTTCAGTTTGTGTTGGATAAGCCTCCACCCACCTAGAGTAAGTACACACAAGAACCAGCAAATACTTGTTACCTCCACATTTCAGCATTTCTGTGAAATCCACCTGAAGATCCTCAAAAGGAGCTGCTCCATAAGCTTGTATGCTGGGTGGAACAGTGGGGCCTTGCCTCACATTGTGCTGTCAGCAAGTAATGCACCGTTGTGCTACTGCTTTGGCAGGGGCTAGCAAGTGTGAGATGTAGAAGTACTGGCCTAACAATTTTTCAAGTGACACTTGCCCTAGATGAGTGGTTTCATGCATGGCCAATATGACTGTGGCTCCCAGCAACTGCAGCACAGCTACCCTCTCATCTGGCAGTCTGATCCATCCTCCTTTTATTACTTGCCCCCCTTCTGTGTGGAAGAATTCTTTTTCTTCCTTAGAAGAGGTAGGTACCAGGTCAGGCATTTGAGGGAGTAAGGGGGCTGCTACCAATGCCTGGTAAGGGGTAGATGCTGCTTTTCAAGCTTCTGATCAGCTCAAGACTTTCCTAAGGCCACTGAGGTGGAGGCTCCCTGGTGTCCCCTGCAGTGCCTGACTGCCACCTTCTGAGGTTTCCACACTGTCTCTAATAATTGTAGAATTTCTTGTTGATATTTTATGTCCTTTCCTCCAGAGTTTAACAGGCCTTTTTCCTTATATAATGCTGCATGCACTTGGAGGGATAGAAAGGCATATTGAGAGTTAGTGTAGATGTTTACAGTCTTACCTTCACTGAGTTCTAGAGCCCAAATTAAAGCAATGAGCTCAGCCCTCTGGGCTGAAGTGCCCTGTGGCAACAGTTTGGCTTCAATGACAGCATCCAAAGTTACCACCGCATATCCTGCACATCTTTCTCCTTGTGAATTGATGAAGCTGCTTCCATCCATGTATAACTCCCAGTCTACTGATGCCCATGGCTGGTCCTGAAGGTCAAGTCTGCTAGAATAGACTGAGTCCAACACCTCTACACAGTTATGCTTGACCAGGCTCTCTGATACTGGCAGCAGGGTGGTAGGATTTAGGGTGTTACAGACTTCAATAGTTCTGCGGGGATTTTCACATAGCAAGCTTTGGTACTTGGTTAATCTAGCATTTGTTAGCCAATGATGTCCTTTGGTATTCATCAAAGTTACCACAGCATGGGAGGCCTTTATATTCAGGTTTTGCCCAAGAGTTAGTTTATCTGCTTCTTGTGGTAACAGGGCTGTTGTTGCCAAGGCCCTTAGACATGGTGGCCAGCCTTTGGAAACCCCATCTAGTTGTTTGGAGAGATAGGTGGCCAGGGCCTCACAGTCTGGGTTAAAACTCCAACTGCCATTTTTTCTCTTTCTGACACATAGAGTGTAAAGGGCTTTGTCAAATCTGGTAGTCCTAGGGCTGGGGCCGACATAAGTTTTTCCTTTAACTTACAAAAGGGTTGCTGTTGTAGAGGTCCCCATTCAAAAGGCTCCCGGTCACCCCCATTTGTAACCCCGTACAAAGGTTTGGTGAGTACTGCAAAGTTTGGAATCCATAATCTGCAAAACCCCACAGCTCCTAGGAATTCCCTTGCTTGCCTTCTGGTTCTAGCTTCCAGTAGGCTGCAGATGACCTGCTTTCTTTCTGACCTCAGGCTGCGCTCCCCTTTCCAAATAGTGAATCCCAGGTAGCGTACCTGCTGTCTGCAGATCTGAGTTTTCTTCTTGGACACCTTACACCTACAGTCTTCCAGCTGCCACAGCAGGGCATCCATCCCTTTTGCACACCCGACTGCCGTGGAGTGTCCCAGCAGAAGTTTGTCCACATACAGGAGCAAGATGCAGCTTAGGTCTTTAGCAGGAAACTTTTGCAGGTCTCAAGCCAGGGCCTCCCCAAAGATAGTAGGGGAGTTCTTGAACCCTCGGGGAAGCCGGGTCCAAGTGTACTGAGTAGTGACACCTGACTCCGGATCTTTCCACTGAAAGGCAAACAGCTTCTGGCTCTCAGGAACTAGTCTGATGCTAAAGAAGGCATCTTTTAAGTCCAGACAGGTAAACCAGCTGTCCTCAGCTGGCCAGCAGCCCTAACAATGTGTAAGGGTTAGGAACTGTTGGGTGCAGAGTCACTGTAGCTTGGTTGACCAAGCACAAGTCCTGTACTGGCCGGTAGTCCTTGGTCCCTGGCTTAGGGACAGGCAGGAGGGGGGTGTTCCATGGAGACTGTCAAGGAACTATAATTCCATAGGCTTTCAAACACCTAAGATGAACCTGGATTCCTTCGAGAGCTTCTCTGGGAACCGGATACTGCTTTTGTCTAATTGGTTGGGCCCCAGGCTTAACTTCTATGAGTATGGGGGCTTGGTTGACCTCCAGTCCCTGAGGATTATCCTCTGCCCATACTCGGGGCTATCGCTTAGCTAGAGCTGGTTTTATCTCTTGGCGGCCTGGCTTGGTTAGAAAAAGTCTCCATTCTTCATCCCGGGGGATGGTAAGGGTCATGATAACTCCTGTTCCTGGTAACTTTAGCTGTAAAGAGCCCTGTTTTGTAAAGAGATGGTGGCTCTCAGCTTGCTAAGCTAGTCTCTTCCAAGCAAGGGACAGTCAGACATTTATAAGAACTGGTGAACTATCTCATGTCCCCCCACCGAGCAGGTCCATGGTAGACAGAAAGCTTGCTTAGTGGAAACTCCTGTTGCTCCGATTATATCAATGGTTTTGTTGGATAAAGAAGGGGATGACCGGGGTGGTCACTACTGAATGTTCAGCACCAGTATCGACCAAAAACTTAATGTCCTTGCCCCCAATTGTAATCCTGACTGTGGGCTCCTTGGGGGCGCTTAAGCCTAGTTCCCTTCAGTCCAATAGCCCTTCAGCCAGATTGAACAAAGCTCCCTCATCTTTATCTGAGGTCTTTTGTTCCGAATCACCTTGCTTTTCCTTCAGTTGGGGACACTAATCTTTTCAATGTCCTATTTCCTTACAATAGGCACATTGCTTACATTGCAAGTGTGGGCAATTAGACTGGGTATTCTTCCTGGAACCCCCCTTTCCCTCTCCTTTTGGGGGAATTCCCCTAATGGCCATGGCCAGTAAGTCGGCGTTTTGCCTAGCCTGGTGTTCGCCTTCCTTACGGCTTTCTCTGGGGCTTGTTGCATCTCTATTCACAAACGCTTGATTGGCTATTTCCAGTAACTGTGAGGTATTCATACCCACAAACCCAGCCTGTTTCTGCAATTTTCTCCTGATATCTTCTGCATTTTGACTAACTAAGTCCATGTTAATCATGCACTGATTTTCAGGGCTATCTGGATCAAAAGGAGTGTATATATGGTAAGCCTCACACAGTCTTTCATAGAATTGTGCCGGATTCTCCTCTTTTCCTTGGATGATCTCAGAGACCTTATTTACATTTGTAGCCTTTTGAGCCCCTTTCTTTAGACTTTCTATTAATGCTTCATGGTACCGCCTAAGCCTCTCCATATCTTGTCCCTCGTTTGGGTCCCACTGGGGGTCTGTTCCTGGCAGCTGAATTCTTATATATTCTTGGGGGTTTTGGTAATTGGCTGGGATGTGCTCCTGTAGCCACTTAGTTGCCACCCAGAGCACCCTTCACCTTTCATCTGTATTAAAGAGGCACATAAGCAGCAGGTGGCAATCAGCCCAAGTAGGATTATGAGTCTGTATAATAGTTTGGAGCAAGTCAATTAAAGCTTGAGGCTTTCAGTGTAAGATGGAGTATTATTTTTCCAATTGAGGAGGTCAGCAGAGGTGAAAGGTTGACACACAAAGGCATGCCTTTCCACCACGTGTCCGTCCTCATCTACCCCAGTATATCGCTGCTCTCTCAGGGGCATTTGGATTCCAGTCTTGGGCTGTAAGCGAGCTGCCAAGGGAGGAATTTCTCCCGCGGCTTCACTTCCTCATTTGTCTGCTCTGGGTGGTCTAGGGTTGTGGTTATCTGGTGGAGGTGTAGGTGCTGTGGGCTCAGGGTTGGGGAGCCCTTCCTCTTGATAAGGAGGGGGTACTGCTGGTACCAATTCCTGCCATGATTCTTCTGGTGTTGGGTCAGACAGGACTTTTGGTGCTGACTTCCCTCGGCGGGTGGAGCGAGAACCTTCCTTAACTACCTGTCCCTTTGCTACTAGTACTGCTGCTGCCTGTCCTCTTAATTACCGTGGGGGGTCCAAAATTAGCTGTAACCAAGAATCTATATAGGGGAAGTGATCTGGGTACCCTGGCTTACAGGTTACCCTGTGCCATACTTTTGAGACAAGGGACCTGTCCAGGCTTCCTTCTGATGGCCAACCCACCTCTAATGCTAGCCAGTCTATCACACACAAAGTTCTAAGTTTTCCTGGTGTCATGGTGACTCCATAGTCTCCCTTAAATCCTTTTTTGAAATTTTTCAACATAGTTCCTAGTGGGGTGGGCTTACTTTGTGCCTGACCCATGTTTCATTGACACAAAAGACCACGCTGACACCACAAAACAAAGAACGGGTAAAAAGGTCACACACACACTTTTACAGTTTACACCAAACCAGAATCAAAACCAAAATCAGAGTATCAAGAAATCCAAGCCAGGTCAAAACCAAAACTAAAGTATCAAGCAATCCAAGTCAAGTCAAAAACAAAAACCAAAGTGCAGTTACAGGCACGCCATGGGTGATCAGGCCATGTTTCCACTCAAATGGAGTGGGCAAGTTCCAAAGACTAGTCTTACCACGTTTCAGATGTCCAGACTCCAAGTGCCTGTTCCTTCCTAGTGTTCAGCCACTGCGTTGATCCTCCACGGGGGTCTGCCATGCGCTGCTCTGCCGAGGCATTCCACCAGGGCAATTGCCTACCCAGGAGCGTGCTCAGGATCCCGGTCGCTCAAGCTGGCTGGAGTCCCCCGCAGGGATACTCCACAGGGCAGGCCTAAGCTGCCTAAGGGGCTGCCTCGACCTTCCGTTAATCACCTTGCTTCCAGGTCAGGGAACCAAGAAATGTAGCAGGACAAGCCGCAGACAAAACCCCTCAGACACCGAATTAAAGAAGAAAGCGGTTTTTTCGGCCCAGAGCATCGGCAAGACTCCTGTCTCAAGAGCCGAGCTCCCCGAGTGAGCAATTCCTGTCCCTTTTAAGGGCTCACAACCCTAAGGGGGTCCACTTGAGAGTGTCATGATCGATTGAGCAATCAGGGGGTACATGACTGGGGGCTGCATGCACTGGTAATTAGATCGGAACAAAACAGGATAGGGATTTTCACAGTGCTTTTCTATACAATGTCTGTAATCTACAGATAACATAACCAATTAGATCAGGGGTCGATCTTCAACTACCAGGCCCAGGGTGTGGCGCTGGGCTGTCTGCTTGTGGATTTATTTCATTTCTGCCTTTTAGTTTTTACTTCTTCTTTCTTTGGAGGCAGAAATTGGGCATAAGAAAATATGAGGGGTGGTCTCCTCCCTTAACCCTAGTTAAAGATTAGATGTAGATTGAATGAAACACTCCTGCTTGTAATGCACTCCCACACGTTGGCATAGAACTTAAAATGTACATAAGTATTGGAGCAAAACCTGTAACTTTGAATTGGCCTGGTGAGTTTTCCTGATCTTCTCCCTGTAACCAGTTGCAGAAATAAACTCCCTTCTTACCCAGTCTGTTTGCTTTTTGTTACTAGACCAGGAGAACAAGCAGCCAAACCTTGTTTGTCCAGGAACGACTCCACTCAATTCAGGACCTATGGATAGAATCCTGGGAGAACTGGCAAATACCACTTGGTTATCGGGGTTTTTAGTTTTCTAACTATGGTCTTTGTTTTCCTTGTCTCTGTCTCTTTGTGTGGTTTGTCATGAGGAGGAAAATCATAATAAAATTCTTCTTTTGTCTTCTTTTATTTCTTGAGAAGTGTGGCTTTGCAACCAGCAAATTTATTCTCTAGTCTCTGCCACTCTGCCAGCATAAGTTCCTGGCCTTCTGTCAGGCAGCCAGCTGAGAGTCCAGCTGGGGGACCAAAATGTCTGTCCAAATGTGCTGGCTCTTGGGAATTTGTCTTAATTGTCTCAACCTTCATTGCCTTGCTAATAATGAGGGTCTTTACTTTCTTAGGCCATCTTTGGAAAAACTTGAGATCTTGAAAGAGACTGAATTTTTCCACCCTCTTTGGGGACATAATTGTTGTGTCTGGTTATAAGCCATAAAAAGCTTACCGGTTTTAAGTCACAATTAAATCAAGTATTCCTTGGGAATTTAGGCTTTTGTGTCTAAAAGCATTTTTTTTTCTTTTTTAAAGAAAGCCCCCTCAGTTCCTTGGAGATGTAAATCTTTTTTTTTTCTTTCTTTTTTTTTTTTTGAGACGGAGTCTCACTCTGTCACCCAAGATGGAGTGCCGTGGCGCGATCTCGGCTCACTGCAAGCTCCGCCTCCCAGGTTCATGCCATTCTCCTGCCTCAGCCTCCCAAGTAGCTGGGACTACAGCTGCCCGCCACCACACCTGGCTAATTTTTTTTTATTTTTAGTAGAGACGGGGTTTCACCATGTTAGCCAGGATGGTCTCGATCTCCTGACCTCGTGATCCACTCACCTCGGCCTCCCAAAGTGCTGGAATTACAGGTGTGAGCCACCGCGCCTGGCCTGGAGTTGTAAATCTTACCATGTCTTTGCAATGTTAACATCCAGGGAATTAGCTAAGCAGCATTCCTTCTGAGATCTAATTTAAAATAAGAGTTAATTTAAGAAAGGAAAAGCTAAGAAATGGGAATGTTTTCTCTTTGCCCAGTTAAAATCTGATAAAAAGACTTTTTAAGGAACTCTATAGTTAAAAGTTGACTTTCTTAAAAGCTGATACTTAGACTATATATGCATACATATATATTCTTAAGGCCTCCGTTCTCTCTCTAGAAAAGCTTCTCTGTAGACTAACTTCCTTTCTTCTTAAACCATTGCCAATCATATATGCTTCCTCTGTCTGTTTCTCCTCTTGTTAATATAATTTTTGCCTCAAAGACTTGTTCTTCCATTTACTTCTGTCTGTCCCTCTTTCCTCTTGCCACCCTCTGTGCCACATGAGGGGACCTAAAGAAGATTCTAAAAGCCCTGGTACCCCTTGAGAAAACAGAAAGAGCTCCACAGACTCTTCTTTTTTAGGAGAACTTCTGTTTTTCCTCATAGAATCCCAAGAGTTGTGAGTGGAGAGATTTATCTTAGGTCTAAAGCTCCACTGTCTTTTACATTGAACTCCTTGACCTCGTTGGCTTTTAGGTACACACATATGTGTGATGGTTAATATTGAGCATCAACTCGATTGGATTGAAGGATGCAAAGTATTGTTCCTGGTGTGTCTGAGAGGATGTTGCCAAAGGAGATAAACATTTAAGTCAGTGGACTGGGAGAGGCAGACCCACTCTTAATCTGGGTGGGCACCATCTAGTCAGCTGCCAGCATGGTGAGGATAATGCAGGCAGAAGAACGTGGTAGGAATAGACTTGCTGCGTCTTCTGGCCTTCGTCTTTCTCCGGTGCTGGATGCTTCCTGCCCTCAAACATCAGACTCCAAGTTCTTCAGCTTTTGGACTCTTGGACTTACACCAGTGGTTTGCCAGGGGCTCTCTGGCCTTTGGCCACAGACTGAAGGCTGCACTATGGGCTTCCCTACTTTTAAGGTTTTGGGACTTGGACTGATCCACCACTGGGTTCTTTGCTCCTCAACTTGCAGACAGCCTATTGTGGGACTTTAGCTTGTGATTGTGTCAGTCAATTCTCCTTAATAAACACTCCCTTTATATAACTCCTGACCTCAAGTGATCTGCGTGCCTTGGCCTCCCAAAGTGCTGGATTACAGGAGTGAGCCACCATGCCCAGCTGAACTTAAAAAAAATCTTGGCTTATTTTAATTGATAAGCACTCATTTATCTTAATTTGGTACCATATAGACAATATACAAATATATGTATACACATACATACGTGTAGACATAACATACACACACACACACACACACACACACACACACACACACACACACATATATATATGAAGTCTCCTGTTAGTTCTGTCCCTCTAGAGAACTCTGACTAATACAATGAGTATTATAAATTAAATAAATAGGCCCGGATATTTTTTAAGTTTGGCCAGGCACAGTGGCTCACGCCTCTAATCCCAGCACTTTGGGAGGCCGAGGCGGGTGGATCACGAGGTCAGGAGTTTGAGACCAGCCTGGCCAACATGGTGAAATCCCATCTCTATGAAAAATACAAGAATTAGCCAGGTGTGGCGGTGTGTGCCTGTAGTCCTAGTTACTGGGGAGGCTGAGGCATGAGAATTGTTTGAACTCAGGAGGCAGAGGTTGCAGTGAGCTGAGATTGCACCACTGCACTCCAGCCTGCACTACAGAGCAAGACTCTGTCTCAAAAAAGAAAAGAAAAGAAAACAACAACAACAAAAAAACCCACCAGAAACAAACAAAAAAACAAAAAATCTCAAATATTTTTTAAGTTCATATGACTTAGGTAAATTATTTGGTAAATGAGATTAGATTAGTATTGTTGGGTTAATAAGGATAATTATGTCTTCTGGGTTATCAACAAAACATACATGTATTTAACTTTTAAAGTTCTTGATTTTATAATATTTGCCTAACATGCAGTCATATGCAAATGGTTAATGAAAAATTTAACTTGAGGTGATAGCTAGATTTGTGTAATACGAATTTTCAAACATAATTGTTAAATAAATAAAATAGATATAAATGACATAAATAAACTACATGGATATAAAAAGTTAAAGAAAGAAAGAGAATCAAAAATTTATAAGAGGTTATAGAAAGTTGATAGACATCTTATCTTGTCTGGTTAATGTCCATTAAAATTGGATGGGTTGGGTGTGGTGGCTCATGCCTATAATCCCAGCACTTTGGGAGGCCAAGGTGGGCAGACTGATCCCAGGAGTTTGAGACCAGCCTGGGCAACATGGTGAAACCCTGTCTCTACCAAAAATAAAAAAACAAGGCAGGGTGTGTTGGCTCACGCCTGTAATCCCAGGACTTTGGGAGGCCAAGGTGAGTGGATCACTTGAGGTCAGGAGTTCGAGACCAGCCTGGTCAACATGGTGAAACCCTGTCTCTACTAAAAATACAAAAATTAGCCAGGCATGGTGGTGGGCGTCTGTAATCCCAGCTACTCGGGAGGCTTAGGCAGGAGAATTGCTTTCACCCGTGAGGCAGAGGTTGCAGTGAGCGGAGATTGCACCATTGTACTCCAGCCTGGGTGACAAGAGTGAGTCTCTGTCTCAAAACAACAACAACAACAACAACAAAAACCGAGCCAGGCATGGTGGTACATGCTTGTAGTTCCAGCTACTCGGCAGGCTGAGGTGAGAGGATTTCTTGAGGGGAAGTCGAGGCTGCAGTGAGCCCTTATTGTGCCAATGCACTCCAGCCTGGGTGACAGAGTGAGACCCTGTCTCAAGAAAAACAAAAACAAAAACAAAAACAAAAGATTAGATGAATTTGTTTGTAAGGTTTTATTAAAATTAGACTTAATAATATACGGATAAAAAGCTGAAATTAGGTTCTTTTGAACAAGATTTATATATGTATAATATTAATGAGAAAAAAGTTAGGTTCACCTTTTGAGTAAACCGCAAAAACAGAAGAGGGAAGTGTTTGCCTCATGCTGTCTGCATTAGGTCTTTTGTTTAAAAAATTGAGTCTCCTCTCTATCAAAGAGTGAAGGTTTTCACTTTCTGAAATCTTTTTTTTTTTTTTTTTTTTTTGAGACGGAGTCTCGCTCTGTCGTCCAGGCTGGAGTGCAGAGGCATGATCTTGGCTCACTGCAAGCTCCGCCTCCCGGGTTCACGCCATTCTCCTGCCTCAGCCTCCGGAGTAGCTGGGACTACAGGCGCCTGCCACCACGCCCTGCTAATTTTTTTTGTATTTTTTAGTAGAGACCGGGTTTCACCGTATTAGCCAGGATGGTCTTGATCTCCTGACCTTGTGATCTGCCCGCCTTGGCCTCCCAAAGTGCTGGGATTACAGGCGTGAGCCACGGCGCCCCGCCCTGAAACCTTTTAATTATCACTTTGGCTAAATGAATGATTATTATTCCACAGCAACCTGTAATCCTATTTTGATCAAGTGTTTTAAACTTCTGATATATTTGACAGGCTTCCTAAAATCAAATATCCAATTATAAATTAGATATTTTTGACCTCAAACTAACTTTTGAACATTCAAAAAAAGAGCCCTTTGAAGTCAAAAGAGACATATTAGGATTATTTGGTATGTTAAATTGTACAGGAGACATTGTCAAATACAAATAATGTTTAACTTTCTTTGAGTTATATTTGCATAAATATGTTATTAATATGTTTTCCCAAACACAAAAGTATGAGTTTTCTAAAACAAAAAAATTATGATATGTCTTGGTATATGTTATCAGTTATAATTCTGATTGTTAAGTTAAATTATGTGCCACAGAATTAACCAAATTTCCTTGTCAATTGCATCTTTATAGCTATTCTAAGTCTATTCTCATCTACAGGCAATTATTGTTTTACTTTGTTTTCCTCAAAAGGCAGTTTACAGTTGGCTACATTCTAAAATTTGCTTCTTCTTCAAGGAAATTCATAGGAAAGGGTCATGGCAAGTACTCTTGAAGATAGTTTTCAATAAGCTTAGAAATCATATCATTAGACTAGGTAAAAACTTTCAGAAAGAAACTAATGGTTTCATAAAGATTACTAACCCAATGTGGAGCAAAACAAGAGTTAATTACATGAGACTTAACCAACAAAAGACCAAAATGATTTTTTTAGTGACTTCTTTTTGGCTTAAATCATTGTCGATTCCTTTTATGGTTTGTTTTCCATAGTCAAGGAAACTTATTTTTATTTTTTAAAGCTATTTATAGCTATTTTAAAAAGTTATAAATTTGGGTAAATTATACTTTTTGAACAAACTTAGAATATTTACCTTTCTTTCTACCTGATCTCTCCAGAATTTAGAAATTATCTGTGAATATTTTTGTTTTATGACAATATAGTTATTTGCATAAGTTCAATAAATATTTGCTTTTTTCATTGCAGAACAATTGGAAACACAGGTTACATTACCAACATTTTGACTGGGATGTCATATTTTCAAGTATAACCATACTGCTTTAAGGAATTAAGGCCAACTTTAAAGAGCCATTGAAGCTCTTAGAAGAACCCTCCTGAGACCTTGTTTCCACGATTCCCTTTCAAGGTTTCTAGCCTTGGGGTAAGTAAAAATGTCACTTTCTGACAGGCCAAGGAACCCCAGAATATTTTGGGGACCTCAAAAAAATTAACCCAGGTACTACAGGTAAAATCAAATGGTGAATTCATGGCTTGGCTTCCTAGCCTGGAGGGGCCTTTAAAGGTCTTATCTGAGATTCCTTATGATAAGCTTCAGCAAAGCAGATTTAAAAAGAGCCTGGATAGCTAATTACTACTCTTGTTCCACTTTACACAAATAATCAGGCCAAGTAGAATAAGACTACAACTTGTTTTACAATTAAATTAGTCTTATTATAAATATCTTTAGTAAAAATGGGGATAATTGTAAAAAGTTATAACTCAAAAGAAAACTATAGTACATCTGTCATTAGATTTTAGCCCTGTCATTTTTGAGTTTAATTATCTAGACTAAATCCTGAACTTTCAGTTTTCTCCAATATTTGGCTACAACTCTCCAAACTAGCATTTCTAATTTTTCTCCCACTCTTCTGTCTTAAAAATCACTAGAAATTTAAACTACACCTTTCCTAAAGCCATGTAAGCTAAAGTTAGACAATTTGATATAAACTTCAGAGAAATGACATAATTTATTTTTAGATGGAAAGTTCACTGAAACATCTCATACAAACTACAATCCAAGAAAATCTGTCAGATTACCTTTGTTTACTTCCATTCCAACAAGATACTCTGAACACAAATCTAAAAATCTTCTCAGCTGACTGCCCTCCAGAATCAGACTAGTTTGTAGACCGCTTCAGACATTAACCTTTGTTTTTCTTTTGCTTCTATAGGAGTACTGCTTTCTAAATGTTTGTTTGCCTATACCACATAGAAAACTAATGTGATGAAAACCCACCTACAACATCACCTCCTGGAATTAGACACAGCTGTTCAACTGAATCTGACTGTTCTCAGGACTAAAAGATTATTTCAATAGGATATGGGACAATGTACCCAAACTTGTTCTTTTTTCTGGTTACATGTTTTTTTCCCTACTTGCCAATCCCTTGTCTCAAAACCTCTAACTCAAATCTCTCCAAAGCTACCAACTTAGATTTTCATATGTAAAACTTTCTGAAAGTAACGTTTCAAAATGGGTCTGAAGGAAACTAAAATATTTCTCCCCCAAATATTGAAGACTGTTAAGTTAAAGACACTGAAAAGGCGTTGGAACACTGTCCCAGCCTCTATTTGCCCAGTGGATAAATCTTTCCTTACTGGAGACAATACTTGCTTATTAACTCAGAGAAGGACCCACAAGCACCAGGGGAATCTGGGAACAGGTTTTACTATTTGCCCATATTTGAATGCCTTTTAAAAGACTGGAACTGCTGTCTACTATGACTAGTCACTATATAGATTTATGGTTATTTGTTAAAATGCTATTCAAGCATGGCGCCAAGCCACTGCCTTGTGAGAGAAATGCTCTTGAACTGAGGCCTCTCCCGTGTGATGAGTACAACATGTGTTAATACATTTCTACATGTTTTTCTTTTGTTAATCTGATTTCTACACTTTCAGGAGAGTGTCTCAGCTAAGAATCCAAAAGAGAAAGAAAAAAATGTTTTCTCTCCTACAGTGTCTACTGGACATTTGGTGTGGGAAGAAAACCCTCCACACATCTGGTCACAGAAGCATTCTGTGTTGAGTGTGTGAGTAGGAGGAGAAAAACTGTTTCTTCCTTTCAGCCTGTTTTCTCTGGGATGATTCCTCACCCTTCCTCTTCTCTGCATTGCAGGGGACTAGTCATGTGTGCTGCATTTCCTAGGCCTCTGTTTTACTGGCTTCTGGTCGGGTTCAATCAATGAAATACAGGAGGAATGAAGAAATCAGCGTATGAGTCTCCTATCCCCATGCCTCTAGTCGAATCCGACCGTGGCTGTGTCTTCTTTGCGGCTCTAGTTTCTTCTAGGTGACCTGGCCCATGTCTGGGATCTGCTAACATTGCCTCCTGCTTTGTCCCTCAAGCCTAAGGAAGGCTGTGAATGTCCACTGTCTGTAATGCCTGTGTTGCCTTTCACCCTTGTTTGGTTCTCATTTCTTCCATTATTTATGCAACTGATTTTCTCCATTTAAGTCCCCCAGTTTAAATACTTACAGTGATTTCTGTTTCCTTGGAAAACCGAATAGATTAGGACATTTTCAGGCATTCATGGAATCAGGTGGCTTATCTCTAGCATAATCCTTAGGAAGTGCCATGATGATATGTTCTAGAAAAATTAGGAAGGAATTCCAAAAAGAGGATGAACCCCATTCAAGAGGGCAAGAGGGCACAGTGGGTCCAATCTAAGAGGGCAGTGAGGGGAAATCCAGGCAAGAGCCATGGATTTAGCCTGGAGCACAGTTTATCTTGAAATAGCGGTACAGGAGGCTCAAAAAAGGCCATTTGAAACCTCCCCCAAAATAAAAGTCACGTGAGACCACAAGTCACTGTAACCCAAACTGAAACAAAATAAAATATGCAATGATTTTAACACAATTGGTAGAGTGTAAGATAACCCATTTCACCTTGATACAGGGATCACGCTCCTCTCTGTGGCCCACGGATTGGCACTGAACTTGCAAAAAGGGAAATATAATCTTAGCATTACATTTGGCTTTGCAGTAAAAAATATTTAGAGTCATATTAATGTAAATACTGCTTATTGGCTTTTAGCTCTTAAAGTCAACCTAAGTAGAAAGAGTGGAAGGCTTGGTCGTAGTTACAGCTGAGAATATAAACGTTAACAACCTTAGTACTGTAAAATGAAAGTGAAGTTGCAGAAGGTCAAGGGAGGAGAGTTGAGAGGGAGGGAATGAGTATCAATATTCCCATTTTGTGAAGGGAAGAATGAACCCACTAAAGTTGATGAACAAATAGAGGACTACTACATTACTTAAAACTATTAAGGTAGCCTGTAGTGAAATTAAAAACAGTATTATAATTGCAAACATTGGGGAATGGGAGCAGAAAATGTGCATTCAATAGATATTGCCTCTAATTCTTAGATCTTCTACAGGCTGTCTCTGGGGCAAGGAAGGTGGGAGACATGGTGAGGGAGGGAGGGCAGGGAGGGTGAGGTAGTCTATGTTTCTTTCCAGTGTAAACTTTCTTTTTTATCCTTTTCTCTCTTTCTTTCTTTTTTTGAGATAGAGTTTCACTCTTGTTGCCCAGGCTGGAGTGAAGTGGCAGGATTTTGGCTCACTGAAACCTCTGCCTCCTGGGTTCAAGTGATTCTCCTGCCTCAGCCTCCCGAGTAGCTGGGATTACAGGCATGTGCCACCATACCTGGCTAATTGTGTATCTTTAGTAGAGAGAGGGTTTCACCTCTTGGTCAGGGTGGTCTTGAACTCCTGACCTCAAGTGATCTGCCTGCCTCGGCCTCCCAAAGTGCTGGGATTACAGACGTGGGCCACGGCGCCCTGCCCAGTATTAACTTTATTTTATTCTTTAGGTTGTTAACATGTGTATCTATTACTTTAACACTTAGAATATATTTAGATGGTTTTAGAATGTATTGGAATAAATCAGAATAAAATGTTGACAGTTTGTCTCTGGAAAGTGAAATTGTATTTCCCCCCTTCTTTTTGCTTTATCTTTTGTGTTATGAGTATTTATTTACTTTTTCATAGAAGCATTTGTTTATGTTGAAAAAATGAGCAACTCTTCCACTTTTCTTCATCTTGGAGAAAGTTAAGTTCAAACTCTGTATTATCAAGAGGCAAGAGTGGGTAGTGGCTATCAGTGTGGTTCAAACCTTACTAGCCATGTGATGTTGGGCAAGTTATGTAACTTTGTGGTGCTTCTGTTTCTTATCTGTACAATGTAGACATGAAATGTTGTACCTGCTGATTAATGGCTATTCTGAGGATGACACGAGGGAATCTATAGTAAATGTGCGGAATGGTGTCTGGCTTGTGGCAAACTCTCTGCAAGTGCTTACTATTTTATTGCTTTGGCTCCAGGATAATCTTCCAAATGTCTCTTTCTGCACTTGCTTTCTGAACTGTTTGCTGTTCTTCCTACGCAGATTTTATTGTCCCACTTTTCCCTTCTCTCTCAATCTCTTCATTTCCCAATCAAATTCTTCCTTCTAGGTCTAGCTCATGTACCACTTCTCCATGTAGCTTTCCCTGATCTGCCCAGCTAGAAGTACCTTCTCTTTCTTTTATACGCCATACCTTTCATCTATGCCATGAGTCTTATGGCACTTCATACTTCTGATGTGGGATACTATTTTTTCCAATTAGGTCAGATGTTACTGGAGAACGGAGTATTTTAAATTACCTGGCAGAAAGTAAGTACCCCCAAAATGTTTTAAAATATAAATAAACAAGTTAAAGAAGAAAAGTACAAGCAATGTTGTATCTTAGTTAAAATAAAAGACTCAGTAGTCTTTCCCTCTCTGGTAAAATTGCTATTATGCTGGTTTCTCTTGTTTCTTTCTTACAATAGTCTGGGATAAGACTTAGAAGGGGCCTTAATAATAAACCATGTTTTCCAATTACAATAAATCTTCTGTGGCTCAGTGCTGGGGCTCATTAGAGTAAGTTCCTTTTGTTTATTGAACAAAGACCAGAGTTTTTTTTTTTTTACTACAATGCTGCCTCATTTCTTCATGACATTTGATCCAGTTCAATTGTTGCAGAAAGACCCTATTTACTAATAGCAGAATTTTTTATTGTTTCTATAGGTGGCGCTAGCTGTGCATGTTAAAGTCACAAATCAGGCTGAAAATGAACCTTGCCTAGAAATAATCGAATGTCCATTTGCTTTTCATTCTTTCTCTTAAGCTTTTTTCTTCTTTGTATTTATTTACTGTTCAAAAATTTCCCTAAGCAATGTTCTGCAGATGCGGCACTCGAATAGGTCATTAAAATCAGGTCCATTAACATGGGACCATTTTTAATATCTTTGGATAATTCAGGCTTTAAAGAAAAGAAAATATTAATAATGAAAAACCTTAAATTATTTATAGTGATTTTGAATCTGTTATGCTGTAGGATTAATTTGAACAGATTATGTCTCGATCATTCCTGATTAAATGCCGAATGCTATTTATTAATATCAATGGAAGTACGCCTATTCTAGCAGTTCATATTTTATATTTCATGCCTAACCCCCCATAGCCTTATTATACCTCTAAGTAAAATGCTGACATTTCTTCCTTCAATATTCTTTTTTTGTATTATGAGTCTGAGCATTTAATGTTATTAAGTTTAAGGCAGTGTTTTATGTTTGAAAAATAATTTACAGCAGAGACAAAAGGTGAGCATCTTGTGCTTTGGCCCATGAGTCCAAGGCCTAAACACACCTGGTAGTAAGCTCAATGAGACAGAGTAAATCAGAGGCAGTGTTCTCTGCTTCTCTTTCCTTTTTTTTTTTTTTTTTTTTTTTTGAGATGGAGTTTTCCTCTCATTCCCCAGGCTGGAGTGCAATGGCGTGATCTTGGCTCACTGCAACCTCTGCCTCCTGGGTTCAAGTGATTCTCCTGCCTCAGCCTCCCTGAGTAGCTGGGATTACAGGCACATGCCACCATGCCCAGCTAATTTTTGTATTTTTAGTAGAGACAGGGTTTCACTATGTTGGCTAGGCTGGTCTCGAACTTCTGACCTCAAGTGATCCACCCTCCTCGGCCTCCCAGACTGTTGGGATTACAGGCGTGAGCCACTGCACCCAACCTCTGCTTCACTTTTCAAAACATATTCCCCAGGGTTCTTGACACACACACACACACACACATGATCAACATTGTCTATGTGTAAGAAGTTGATCAGAGGAATTGCAGTGGATACATGGAGAGAAGTGCAGCCTATATAGACAGTATGGCACTGACTGTGGGGAAAGTGAATAACGTTTCTAGAGGTAAGGATGTCTTCATGGGAGTGCGACCTGTGCAGTCACCTAGAGCCCTCTGCTTAGAACTCTGTGCTTGATTTAATGCTCTGTTTTTGCTGTCTTGAAATTTGTAATTTTTTAAAACATTTTTGTTTTGTGCTGAGCCCTTCAAATCATGTATCTTGCCCTATTTATAGGTTTAATGGCTTTAAAAACAAGCTGCAGGGCTAAAGAATTATAATATAATATTAAAATAATAGAATTATTATTAAAAATGTTATAAAGAATTAGGCTACATTAAAGAATTGTAATAGAATTATCCTATGTGACTATCTTGAAGGCTTTGAGATTGAGTGAAACAGAGATTCAATAAGAAATTCCTTGGAAATGACCCCAGCACATTGTCAGTGGGCCATGGGGCAGCTTTCCCTGTAAAGCCTCAGCGTAAGGCAGCTGAAAACTCTGCTGCCAGCATTTGCTCACCCAGATTTCAAAACGCACAATCAGCATGCTCATTCTGACAACTTTTTTGTTAAGGATTTTTGACACTTTTCCAGAAATACTCATATCACTTCCCATCGCATTCATTTCCTGTGTGGATGTTGCACAGAACATATTTTCTGATAGGTGGAGTGCATTTCCTTGCCAGGCCTGCTAAGTAAGACAATTAGCAAAGATAGAATCAAGTCACCTATATATTTAGCCTAGTGCAGTGGCAACAAACCTATAATTGCATTAGTAAATAGGGTGGTTTTAAAATTTGAAGCTGAAACTCATAACTACATTCTTGGCACCCTTTTGCAGAGGGGGAGAGAGAGAGAGGGAGGACTTTATCAGCTGTTCACATGGCTGTGTTCATCAGCAGAAAATAAATGAGTCTGTGCTTAATACAAATTCTCCTTGCAGCGAGCTTGCACTGAAGTTTTTAAAATTAGTTCTGGGGGAGAAATCTGAGCCTGCCATCATGGCTTTCCCTCCTGCTATACATTCTAGATGCCTCTCTTGGTATGTTGTACAGGGTTTGAGGGGCTTATCTATTGCAGCTATTTATATTATCATATCTATTTAATAAGACAAATTTTCTGTTACAGCCTTTATAATAAGCATTTTAACAGCAACACATGGAGACAGCATTCATATCACCATGGACTTGGCTCAGCAGATTTTCTGAGAACACTTGAATATTTAGCATGTTGGGTTTCTTGAGCCTTGTCCTTGAAAGAAACTAGAATAATATTTAGATCTAAATCCCTTTATGTAGAAGCACTTATGTTCATTCATTTATTATCCATTTGCTACTTATTCTTGGTTCTTGCTTTAGAAATAAATATAAATTTGAAGTTTGAAGATTTATACCGGGCAAAGGCTCTAAGGTTGAGGTCAGTGATAGTTGGAGTTAAAAGAGATCTTAACATTCTCTTGTGTGGCCCTTCCAGAAAAAGGAAGGAGTTTATTCAAAGTTAACAGATTAATTAGTATCCACTTTAAATATCTAGCCTCCTTTGAGGCTATTTTCAAGGAAAGAAGTCATCATGTATCTCAGAACTACCAAGCTTAGAGTAGATGGGAGCCATACAGCTTGCACACTAACCACAACATTCGAATTATTAAGACAGTGGGGAAGCAGCATTTGCTTCCTCCTGCCAGGTTGTGAGTGCCCATGAGCCAGGGCCTCTGAGAAGTAGAGCTGAGCTTTTGCTCTGAAGGGCTAATGACAAAGACTGTTTGGGATGTGATGTGGTTTGGCTGTGTTGCCACCCAAATTTCATCTTGAATTGTGGTTCCCATAATCCCCACTTCTCATGGGAGGGACCCAGTGGGAGGTCATTGAATCATGGGGGCAGTTACCCCCATGCTGTTCTGATAGTAAGTGAGTTCTCACGGGATCTGATGGGTTTTTATTTTTTTGGAGATGGAGTTTTGCTCTTGTTGCCCAGGCTGGAGTGCAGTGGTGTGATCTCGGCTCACTGCAACCTTCACCTCCCGGGTTCAAGGGATTCTTCTGCCTCAGCGTCTGGAGTAGCTGGGATTACAGGCATGCTCCACCATGCCTGGCTAATTTTGTATTATTAGTAGAGACGGGTTTCTCCATGTTGGTTAGGGGGGTCTCGAACTCCCGACCTCAGGTGACCTGCCCGCCTCGGCCTCCCAAAGTGCTGGGATTACAGGTGTGAGCCACTGTGCCTGGCCTGTGTTTTTTTTTTTTTTTTTTTTTTTTTTTTTTTTTTTTTGAGGCGGATTCTTGCTCTGTCACCCAGGTTGGAGTGCAGTGGTGTGATCTCGGCTCATTGCAATCTCCGCCTCCCAGGTTCAAGCGATTCTCCTGCCTCAGCCTTCTGAGTAGCTGGACTACAGGCACCCACCACTACACCTGGCTAATTTTTTACTTTTGGTGGAGACGGGGTTTTACCATATTGGCCAGGCTGGTCTCAAACTCCTGACCTTGTGATCCGCCGATCTGATGGTTTCATAAGGGGCTTTCCTCCTTTGCTCGGCACTTCTCTCTCCTGCCACCTTGTGAAGAAGGACAGGTTTTCTTCCCCTTCTGCCATGATTGTAAGTTTCCTGAAGCCTCCACAGGCATGTGGAACTGTGAGTCAATTAAGCCTCTTTCCTTTATAAATTACCCAGTCTTGGGTGTTTTTTCATAGCAGTGTGAGAATGAACTAATATAGGAAGAATCAGATCTCTGCATCATTTTACCAGAAATCAATTCTTTATCTTGCAATTTCTGCAGGAGATCATGGTATTTAATTATAATTTTATATAGTTTGAGGTCAGTAAAGCACTGCTGATACAATCGTTGTTTTACAACAGTTTAGGATTGAACTGAATCAACTGAAGGATAGACTTCAGTTAATTTCAGATGTAACATAGCAAACATTTATAACGTAAAAACTGGGAGAAAAACCAGTTTGTTCCTTTGTAGATGTGTGGGGATAGTGGTGAGAATTTATGGATTAAGATTTTCTTTCTTATTTGGAGTTCCATTAATGTAAGGTAAAATGCTGTCCTTATGGTAAAGCAATTCATTTGCTATTTTTGTAGTCTCATTTAAAAAAGAATGTTTAAAATAGGTGAACATGGTGGCACATGCCTGTATTCCCAGCCACTTGGGGCTGACACAGGAGGATCTCTTGAACCCAGGACTTTGAGGTTACAGTGAGCTAAGATCGCACTACAGTAGCAACAGTAGTGGGCAGCAGAGTGAGACCTGGGCAACAGAATGAGACCTTGTCAGTAAAAAAAGTACAAAACATTTTAAAAATTAAAAAATTTAAAATAATAAAGGCCATATGGAAATATTTGGGTAGTAATTGTCAAATAAAATGAATATTTCTATAGAAATATGCACCAGAAGTTTATTCTTCTTTTTAGGACAGTGCCCAGATCCTGTTGGATTTTTTGTTGTTGTTGTTGTTCCCTCTTCAGTTTTTTATTACAATATTGTAGGGTCAGAGGAAGCAGCTCATCATTTGGTTTAATCTTTTTCCTAGAAAGGATGCTGCCCATAGCTGGGGCTCCCAGTGAGTGACCAGGATTATCCTAGAAACTTGTAAGAATTAAAAATGTGCTACAGAAGCAAAAACAAAACAAAACAACCTATAATTTCAGTGGTCAGAGATAAGCACTGTTAATACAATGGATATATACTTCTAGAACTTATTCTATTAATGTAGGCTAATCCCTGTTTATCTCTCTTTCTTTCATTTATCTATCTTTAAGTTCCCCCAACAAATATGTATCCATAAAGTAATTTTACTGCCTTCAGGACAGTTGTCTTTTTCATGTACACTTCTGTGCTCCTCCTGAGAGAGGGGCTTAGAACTAAACCGTCTCCTGGTCCATCCCCCACAATTTCTGTTTTTTTTTTTTTTTTTTGGTTTGTTTGAATGTTTGCCTGCCTGGGAACTGCCAGCCGTGCCCATCCAAATCTGCAAATCTTCCTCTAGACTTTGGGAGACAGAAAAGTAGCTCCTACTTCAAGAGGTTAGAATCCTCAGATGTGGCACTTTCAAGGAAAAGGGTTGTTTACCTGAGTGATAAGAATATCTGGAGGAGAGCTCATCACTAGTCGGTGTGTAGTTGCTGTGACTCCGTCTGTCCTGGCAATTTCTAATCTGGTCCTGCCTGTGAATTGCAGAGTGCTCCACGGTGTTCTCCAGCACCCCGTGAAGAAAAGCCTGTGATGGGATTGCAGTTCGTTCTGTCTTGCTATGATTGCTTGTCTGTTCCTGTGGCTTCTAGTGGCTCTTTTCCTTGCTGGAGTAAGAAGTTTCCTTTTTTGCTACTTCAACTTGCTATTTCTTAAAAAATAAATAAATAGAGGGCATCCTTTACTTCTACAAGCAAGAAATAGAGGAGAGAGAGCTCAGGAGATTGAGAAATAGAGAATTTCCCTTAACATTCATTACTTTTATTTCAGAACTTTCAGTCACCTCTGGGTCCATCTATCTGTACTCTCTTTTTTTCTGCTGTCTCTTCTAAAGTATTAGCTTATACAGGTTTCAGGAAAGAACTTGGGAATCCAAAAGTCAATAGAATTCAAAGAATTGTCAACATACTTATGTACAATAACCAATCTCAATCAACCTCAAATGAACAGGGCTAAAACTTGTCTATAAAGAAAAGCTATTTCAACTGTTCGCCAAATTATAAGTCTATGAGTCATTTTATTTGCCATCTTCACAGATACCATGTATTAAAGTCATTCACCTACTGGGAATATTTTTGAAAAAATTTATTCTCTCATGGGAAATTACAAAAAATTTAGAATCGCACATTTTAACTACTGAATATTAATGCAACCTTTCCTAACTACTAGTAGAAGAATCAAATCCCTGTTGCAATTAAGGAGTTGGACCAGCCTCTTTCACATGCACAAGTAATTTCTTCACTATGGTATTCATTTTTACTTCAGGATTTAGACAGGATTGTAATGGGACCAATGCAAGCAGAACTATGTACTTTGTAAATGTGCATAAATGTGCCCATCTTTGGCTTTATGAGAATTGATTGTAGTGTTTACATTTGAGATGAATGAGTTCAGAGTCCTTCATTCCATTTGTGACATATACCATTATACGGTGTTATTTTCTGTTAAAAGATTCAGTTAAGCTGATGGTAAAATTGAGTTGACTACCTTGACTTAGCTATGGCATGTCAAATGTCATAACTTGGGAGCCCAATGAGTGGATAGGGATTATACTGATTCTATTAAGACCAGTGATTTTGGAATCAGGAAACTTGGATTTTAGTCCTGTGTCTATTTTTTAAAGTTTTTTTTAGGGGTGGGTGGGCAATCTTTCCTTTATTTTTTAATTTTTTATTTTTTTTGGAGACAGAGTCTTGCTCTATCCCCCAGGCTGGAGTGCAGTGGCATGATCTTGGCTCACTGCAATTTTCACCTCCTGGTTCAAGCGATCCTCATGCCTCAGCCTCCTGAGTAGCTAGGATTACAGGCACCTGCCACCACGCCCAGCTAATTTTTGTATTTTCAGTAGAGATGGAGTTTCGCCGTGTTGGTCTCAAACTGCTGACTTCGGGTGATCCACCCACCTCAGCCTCCCAAAGTGCTGGGATTACAGGCATGAGCCACTGCACCCAGCCCCTTTATTCTTTTTTTTTTTTTTTGCCTTTATTATTATTTCTAATTGTTACATAATAATTGTATACACTTATGGGGGACAGCATGATATTTCTATACGTTATACTATGTGTTATGGTCAAATCAGGGCAATTAGCATATCATCATATGTCTATTAACAACAAAATTAGACAGTTGTGTTTGGGCCGCGTGTGTGTGTGTGTGTGTGCGTGCGTGCACAGATGTGTGTGTGTGTTTATTAAAAAAATGATATAAGTTTCTATGTTCTGAATGTTAGTGTGCCCCCCAGATTCATATGTTGGAACCTAATACCCAATGTGATAGTATTGAAAGCTGGCACATTTTGGGAAGTGATTAAGTTATGAGGGCTCAGCCCTTATGAGTGGGATTAGTACCCTTACAAAAGAGGCTGAAGGGAGCTGCTTTCCACCTTTCACCCTTCGAGGACACAGCACCAAGGTGCCATCTTTGAGGCAGAGATCTGGCCCTCACCAGACGCTGGATCTGCTGGTGTCATGATCTTGGATTTCATGGCCCCCAGAATTGTAAGTACTAAATTCCTGTTGTTCATAAATTACCCAGTATAATATATTTTGTTATAACAGCAGAAACAGAGTAAGACACAAGGTAAGAAGTTTAACATAGCTAAAACATTGCAACTGTGAGCAAGGGATAGAAGATAGCACTGGACAAGTAGATCAGATCATGAAGGATATTATATGTTATGCTAAGGAAATTGGATTTGATTCTATAGGTATTGGGGACACTAATTTTTAAAAATGTCTTAGTTTGAAATAACTTTAGACTTAGACTTACATAAGAGATGCAAAAATGTATAGAATCCCTATTAGTATACTATCTACCCAGCTTCCTCTAATTTCAACATTATACATAACCACATTATAATGAACAAAACAAAAAAATTAACATTGGTATAATACCTAAATACCTAATAACTAAACTACAGACTTTATTCAGATTCTCACCAGTTTTCCCACTAAGGTTCTTTTTCTCTTCCAGGATCGAAGCCAGAATATCAGATTGAATTTAGTTGTCAGGTCTCCATACTATTCTCTAATCTGTGACAGTTTTTCAGCCCTTTTATGGCTTTCTTCACCTTCAAATGTTTGAAAAGTACTGTTCAGATATGTTGTAGCATGTCCTTCAATTTGGGTTTGTCTGAAGTTTTCTCATGATTAGATTGAGGTTATAATTTATGTTAGTCTGTACTTGCGTTACTATAAAGGAATACCTGACACTGGGTAATTTATAACAAAAAGAGGTTAAATTGGCTCACAGTTCTGCGGGCTGTACAGCAAGCATGTTTTTTGGTGAGGCCTCAGGAAGATTTCACTCATGGTGGAAGGTGAAACGGGAGCTTGCATGTCACATGGCAAAGCAGGAGCAAGAGAGAAAGAGTGAGGGGGGAGGTGTGACACACTTTTAAATGACCAGATTGTGTGAGAACTCACTATCATGCAGACAGCACCAAGCTATAGAGTCCTATGGGAAGTAAAACAGAGACTGTGTGTATAGACAATACTATCAGTGGGTTTGAAGGAACCGAGAAAGAGATAAGAAGGTAGGATGGAAGAAGACCCAAGTTAGGAGGTCCTTATTACATCCTCTCCCCTCATCATGCTCATAAACTATGGTTGTAAGTATATTATTTGGTAAGTATGTGTCTTAGTCTGTTTTATGCTGCTATAAAAAAACACCACAGACTGGGTAATTTATTTTTAAAAAATTATTTCTTACAGTTCTGGAGGCTGGGAAGTTCAAAGTCAAAGGGCTGCATCTGGAGAGGGCCTTTGTGACGCCATCCCATGGTGGAAGGTAAAAGGGCAAGAGAGCAAGAGAGAGCCCAGTTGGCTTTGATATCAACACATTCTCGAGATAAACACACTCCAGATGTTAATCCATTCATGAAGGCTCTACCCACATTGCCTAATCAACTCTTAATGGTCTCACTTCTTTATACAATCACAATGGCAATTAAATTTCAACATGAGTTTTGGAGGGTACATTCAAACCATAGCAGTAAGTATAGTATTTATTCTTTATCATTAGCCTAGATAATTCCCCTTATTTCTCTAAGTGCTTTATATTAAAACATGCACAATGTTATCTGATGGTATTCTACATAATTTGTCATTATGTTGTCAAAGAATGTGCTTCACCTGGTTGGCACAGAATCACCTACAAGCATTTTATCTCAATGCTGTTATAGCTCAATTTAGCTTGTTTGGATTGAGTATTTGGAGAAGGTCTCAGTGTGCTCGGTAGATGGGTCAATTTGCTTTGCTTGATCAGGCTCCCAAGTGCCCCTCAGACCTCAGCCTTACAAATGCCTCATTATCAGCTGAATGGAGAGCAAAGTGAAAGGAGAGAAGATAGCTCAGCTCCAATCTATCCCCACGAGGGAATAATAATTCAAAACACATGCCCTGCTCATGCAGGAGCAAGAGTGTTATCTCTGTATAACATTACTCAACATGGAGGTCACATTTACCTTAGTAAACAAAATTACTTCCTTTATTCTGTTGGGAAAGAAAAAAATATTTGCCTCTAGAACATCCTTTGAGCATGAGAAATTAAGCCTGGAGTATAATTCATTTGAGCTAAAAGTACAAGAGATTCTGGAGGCTGAATTTGGGCTTGTAACTGTTTATTTACATTTATAATGGACATCTTTTTACTGTGAAAACAACGTAATAATATTACAGAATGTTAAAAAAAAGAAAGAAAACCACTCCTAATCCCATTAACACAGTTACTATCCTTTTTTTTTTCCTGGTTTCTTTCTATATGCATCCATATTTTTACATAATTATAATTGTATGGAATATACAGTTGCATCCTTGGCTGTTTCACTGACTCATGAGCATTATTCTGAGTTGCAATGTAGTCTTTATAATTATTCTTTTTATGACTGTATAATATTCCATGGAATGGATGTGTCCTCAGTTAATTAAGCACTCCTCCACTGTAGAACATTTAGTTTGCTTCTAATTCATCACTACCATAAATAAAGCCATATTGAAAAATGTCTGCTGTATTTTTTTCACCTATATTTTGTATTATTCTCAAGATGTATTTCGAAAGCAAGGTTACTGAGTCACAGAGGATGAACATTTAAGCTCTATCATCTATCTATCTATCTATCTATCTATCTATCTATCTATCTATCTATCTATCTTATATTGCCTTTTAAAGAGTTTACTGATTATGATGTCGCCAGTTAAGGTTTGCTTAGTGAATGTGAGCTAGGAGTTTGGCAGGACTGGTTTCACCAGATATGGGTCACAAAGACCCCACTGATAAAACAGGAGGTGGTAAAGAAGCCAGCCAAGTCCAGTCTCAAGCCTGTAATCCCAGTAATTTGGGAGGCCGAGGAGGGCGGATGGCTTGAGGTCAGGAGTTCAAGACCAGCCTGGCCAACATGGTGAAACCCTGTGTCTACCAAAAAATACAAAAATTAGCCAGGCATGGTGGCATGCACCTATAGTCCTAGCTACTTGGGAGGCTGAGGTGGGAGAATCGCTTGAACCCAGGAGGCAGAGGTTGCAGTGAACTAAGATCATGCTACTGCACTTCAGCCTGGGAGACAGAGTGAGACCCTGTCTCAAAAAAAAAAAAAAAAAAAAAAAAAAGGCCAGCCAAAATGAAGATGGCAACAAAAGTGTCCTCTTGTTGTCCTCACTGCTCATTTTACATGAATTATGATGTATTAGCATACTAAAGGAAATTCCCACCAGCAACATAATGATTTACAAGTGCCATGGCAACATCCAGAAGTGACCCTATATGGTTTGAAATGGAGATAAACCCTCAGTTCTGGGAATTCCCTACTTCTTTCCTAAAAGACTCATGAATAATCCACCCCCTGTTTAGCATATGATCAAGAAATAACAATAAAAATAGCCAACCAGCAGCCCCCAGGCTGCTCTGCCTGTGGAGTAGCCACCCTTTTATTTCTTTTTTTTCTTTGAGACAGCATCTCACTCCGTTGCCCTGGCTAGAGTGCAGTGGCGCCATCTCGGCTCACTGCAACCTCCGCCTCCCGGGTTCAAGCGATTCTCCTGCCTCAGCCTCCTGAGTAGCTGGGACTACAGGCACGCGCCACCATGCCTGGGTAATTTTTGTATTTATAGTAGAAATGGGGTTTCACCATATTGGCCAGGCTGGTCTCAAACTCCTGACCTCTTGATCCACCCACCTCGGCCTCCCAAAGCGCTGGGATTACAGGCGTGAGCCACTGTCCCCGGCTATTTCTTTACTTTCTTAATAAACTTGCTTTTACTTTACTGTATTGGCTGGTTCATTAATTCCTTCCTGCATGAAGCCAAGAATCCCCATGGCCTCTCAGGCTGAACCCCAATTTTGAGGTGTGTGTGCCCTGTGACAGATGGGGAATCCAAAAAGCCAGAGCAGGGTCAAGTGGAATGGGTCTACTCATGTGGGAAGAGGTGGAAGGGCACTGTGAGTTCTTTCCAGGGATTTGCTGAAAACCAAACATAGTGAAGATGAAATTCTGTTGTGAAATTCAAGCCAGAGGTGGACTTCCATGTAGAGGAACAAATGGAAATCGGAAGTCATAAAATGGGTCAAAAGTGTTTTTTTTTTGAGATGGACTCTTGCTCTGTCACCAGGCTGGGGTGCAGTGGCGCGATCTCAGCTCACTGCAACTTCAGCCTCCCGGGTTCAAGCGATTCTCTTGCCTCAGCCTCCCGAGTAGCTGCGACTACAGGCGCATGCCACCATGCCTGGCTAATTTTTGTCTTTTTAGTAGAGACAGGCTTTCACTGTGTTGGCCAGGATGGCTTCGATCTCTGGGTCAAAAGTCTTATCGACTCTTAAAAGATTAAAGAGACAATGGGGATGGAGAAGCCAAAAGGGGTATGAAGTACTAGGCAATTTCAGCCAGAAGTTTTGAAGTGTGAATAGGTTACAGGCTGGGCATGTATGGAACTGACACACTGGAGTATTTCAGATATGCACAATAACACTGGAGTTGGCAAAAATTAAAACTTATTTAGTGTTCACTCTCTGCTGGATACTGTCTTAAGCTTTTAATGGATTCTTTCATTTAATCTTTACAACATTCACAGGTGCTACTATTATTCCCATTTTCCAGTGAGAACACCAAAGCATAGAGATAAGTGGCCAAGTGACTTTCCTAAGGTGACACAGTGGTCAGCTGTGGAGCTGATTCAAATCCAGGCCATCTGGCACCTGGCTTCTGCTCCACTGTTCTCTCTGCTCTTCTGGAGTTTCTTATTTTGTGAATGTAGTGTGGGTAAAAAATACATCATTCTTCTTTTAATTTTTATTTCTTTGGTTTCTAGTCTTGTTTAATATTTGAGTAAGACATTTTTAACATAACTTTGGGACATGGATGATGGGATCATTTACACATTTGAAAAATGTACCCATGGACAAGGAAGTGAACATATTCTATATAATAACATATTGATATTGAGACTATGCGAAACTGAGTAGAGACATCCAATTAAAAATTATTATTATTATTATTTTAGATACAGGGTCTTGCTCTGTCACTCAGGCCAGGGTGCAGTGACACAGTCATAGCTCACTGCAGCCTCAAACTCTGAGGCTCAAGTTATCCTTCTGCCTCAGACTTCTGAGTAGCTAGGACTACACCACAATGCCCAGTGAATTAAAAAGTTTTATTTGAAGAGATGGGGTCTCACTATGTTGCCCAGGCTGGTCTTGATTTCAAGGCCTCAGGTGATCCTCCTGCCTCAGCCTCCCGAAGTGTTGGGATTACAGGTGTGAGCCACTGTGCCTGGTCTCAATTTTCAAATTCAAGAATGTTTGCCTGACACTGATACTTCCTAGATTATGGCTATATATTTATTGTAAATATTCCATCTTTGAAATAAAGGGGAACACAGTGATGGCTTATTATTTCAATGTGTCAGGAGCCATATCTCATTGTGCCTGGAACCAGATCTCTTCAAATGTAATCATTATAGTTAAAAGATTGTCTTTGGGGTAGAGTGAGCTAGGAATGAAATCAGGCTCTTCTAGAGGAAGTTTGTGGATGTTCTGGGAAGAAACACCACCCCCAGCCTCCTGGGTTGTCATGCTCCTACTCCTGTTTCCCAGTAGAAGTTCTGAGGAAGATGCTTCACTGGCTTGGAGAATCTTTGGTTTTGAAATGCCTTATACATTTATTTTTTCTTTTTAATCAAAAGCCTTTCTTTATGTAACATTGTAATTAGGTTAATGCTGAAAGGACTTCTGGTTTCAGCTTCTATATGTGAAGAAATTGGAAGTTGTCACTTCCATTTTTACAACCATAAAAACCTAGTCAAATTGAAAACTAATGACTTTTCTTGGACTTATTGTGGAATGAGGTTGCAGGGCAAACCATCACCCTGAAATCTGGGGAGACAGGTCCCTCCAAAGAGACACAGTTAACAGCTACCTACCTAAGATGGAAGCTTCTGGAGTCATAAACTATAGCACTTTGGTGTTATGTTGGGAAATTGCTGGAGGTTGAGTGTGGATTAGCATGAGGGTGAGGTTGAGTAACTCCTGGGGAGTGCAGTCTTAGGGTGACTGCCACAATTCCATGGGTTTTTAGCTTCAAGAACCTTACTAGGTTCTCATGATGAATATCAGAAAAATCTTTTTGTAACTCTGGCAAGGAGAGAGTAATCATTGTGAAATATGCACATAGTCTTCATAATGAATACCTACTCTCCAGGGATAAAAATTTTGCCGGGAAATTGTTGCACCAAGAAGAGACAGATTCCTTTTTCTTCAACCGTCTCTAGCCTTCCTGTCTCACCGGACAGGGGAAAAACATAGACAACAGATGTGAGGGCTTTAAGAAAATAGACTATAAATTACACAGCCAAGGAAGGCAGGGAGAAAAAAAGCTATATTGTGATGAAACTCTTGTGAAGGTCACAGCACTGAGTCACAGGTCCACTAAAATATTGAGATTTAATCAGACTATAGGACACTTCTTCCATTCATCTTACCACCACACCAACAGGGCTCCAGTATAATAACAGCAGATTGCAGCCAAGAAACTGCAAGGTATATACTCTATCTAAGGAGGAGTACTTAGGGAAGCCTAAAGTCAAGAGGGGAGACACCAATAAGGACACTTGGGGGAATTTGAAGCCTCTGGCATAGCTGCAGCAAACATTAAAGATAGCCTAACTCCTACCCAGATGACCACAAATCTTCACACTAAAAACTTATTTAACCCTTATTACCTGATACAACACATCTGGGCTTTGACATAAAATTACAAGGCATACTAAAAGTCAAGAAAAACTTCTAGAGATAAAATACTACCATCAGAATCAGATTCAAACATGACACAAATTTTGGAATTATCAGGCAGGAAATTTAAAATAATTATAATTAATGAGCTAAGGGCTCTGAAGTAAAATGAGCTAAGGGCTCTAGACAACATGCAAGAACAGATGAGTAATATATGCAGAGTTGGAGACTCTAAGAAAGAATAAAAAGGAAATACCAGAAATAAAAACAACTGTAACAGAATGAAGAATGCCTCTGATGGGCTCATAAGCAGATTGGATACAGCCAAAAAAGAGTCAGTGAGCCTAAGGTTTGTCCATAGGCACTTCCCAAACTGAGATGCAAACAGGAAAAAAAATAAAAATCAACAAACAACAGAACAGAACAGTAAGAATTGAGGGACAATTTCATAAGGTGTAACTTATGTGTAATTTGAATATTGGAAGAATAAAGAGAACAGAACAGAAAAATATTTGAAGTAATAATGACTGAGAACTTTCCAAAATAAGTGACAGACTCCAAACCACAGATTCAGGAAGCTTAGGGAACACCAAACAGGTTAAATGATCAAAAACCACTTACCTCAGCATATCATATTTATATTGCAGATAACCAAAGATGAAGAGAAAGTCTCAAAGAAGCTGGGTAGGTAAAGGTGGAGGACCACTTACCACAGAAAAGCAAGGATAAGAATTACACCAAACTTCTTTTTTTTTTTTTTTTTTTTTTTTTGAGATGGAGTCTCACACTCTTGCCCAGGCTGGAGTGCAGTGGCATGATCTTGGCTCACTGCAACCTCTGACTCCTGGGTTCAAGCAATTCTCCTGCCTCAGCCTCCCGAGTAGCTGAGATTACAGGTGCCCGCCACTGTGACCGGCTGATATTTGTATTTTTAGTAGAGACAGGGTTTCACTATGTTGGCCAGGCTGGTCTCGAACTCCTGATCTCATGATCTGTCCACCTCAGCCTCCCAAAGTGCTGGGATTAGAGACGTGAGCCACTGCACCCGGCCATCAAACTTCTAATTAGAAATCATGCAAGTAAGAAGAGAATGGAATGAAATATTTGAAGTGTTGATTGAAAAATCTCACTAACCTGGAATTTTATTTTTATTTTTTTCCAAGCCAGACTGTATCCAGCTTTATTAAAGATACTTTCCACAAACAATCATGGTATTTCAGGCAGGACATGGGCAGACAGTTGTTAACAGTATAAAACAATGTTCAAACTCCCTTATTCAATGGACTACTGAAATCAAAAAACCACTGTTAAACCCAATGAAGTCTTCATCTGATGCTCTGAATGGGGAAAGTTTAGAGTAAGGGTTGACCTGTCATATATAGCATGTTGTTTAACAACTTTTCATGAGCCAACCCGGACTTTCAGGAAGTGAAATGAAAATATCAGAAGTGATCTGAAGATCCACAATCTAGAAAGGG